>NT_167249.2:2114577-2139193 GCF_000001405.40 Homo sapiens
GGCCATCTTCTGGACAAAAAGTCAAGGAGAGTTTAGAGTAATAATTCCAGTTTTTATGGCTTTTGCTTCGGGGAAAAAGGGTTCTAGTTTCTAGGACCTACCGTGGGGAAGAGGATTCTGGTTTCTATGACTCACTTCAGGGGAGCACGAGGGACGAGAGAGACAGGAGGGCAGGAGCAGGTCAGAGGGACCTTGGATCTGAGGCTGCTTCTGAGGCCTTCCAATGTCCTTTAGTTAAGTACTCATCGCCATACTTTGGGGTATTGTGTTCTGAACCCCAACAGAAACAACTCACTCTCTCGGCATCAGCCTTGTGCCTACACCCACAGGAGCAGGAGCACAAGCCATTGCAGGTGCGGGCTCCTCAGATGGAGCAACTCCAATGTCACCTGCTCCTCACCTGTACCCAGTGGACTTTTTTGGCAGCCTCCCCCATCTTCTCGTGTGGCTCCATATCTTTATATCTTCTGTGGCAGACGTAGCCTGCTGCCTCCCCAAACTCCATCGTCCTCTTCTCCTTCAACCATGGAAACTTGATTTTGTCTGTGGCATCCATGTGCCTCTTTGAAACACTCACCTCCTCAGACTGCCTTGAATCCAGGGGTGGCCACATGACTGGGTAATGAGTCACCAGTAGAAGTCGGCTTGATGGGGCTTTTAGGGAAACAACGGCTTTCCTGTTTTTGTTTTTCTTCTTCTTTTTTTTAAATTTTCTCCTGCTACCCCTCCCCTTGTTTGTTTTTAAGATGGATTTGTTCAGAACACATCTTTTGCTCTTTCCTTCTCCTTTCTGCCTGGAATGTAGATGTGATGTCTGAAGGCAGAGCAACCATCTTGCACATGTGACATAGAAAGGTAGATGTGAAGACATCTAGCAGGAGATTGCATCTCTGGTGATTGGAGCAGCTGTATCAGCTCTGGACTGCCTGCTCAAGTCTTCTTCATAACTGGGAAAAATAAACACCTATGAAGTTAGGCCATTGTATTGAGTTTTTGTTACTCAAGAACCAAACACAATCTTTATTTATTTATTGAGATGGCATTTCACTCTTATTGCCCAGGCTGGTGTGTGGTGGCGTGACCTCAGCTCACTACAACCTCTACCCCCCATCCAGCCCTGCTCCAGGTTCAAGCGATTCTCCTGCCTCAGCCTCCTGAGTAGCTGAGATTACAGGCGCCCACCACGTCTGGCTAATTTTTTGTATTTTTAGTGGAGACGGGGTTTCACAATGTTGGCTAGGCTGGTCTTGAACTCCTGACCTCAGGTGATCCACCCTCCTCAGCCTCCCAAAGTGCTGGAATTACAAAGGTGAGCCACGGCACCCGGCCTTTTTTTTTTTTTTTGAGACAGTCTCGCTCTGTTGCCAGGCTGGGATGCAGTGTGGCGTGATCTTAGCTTGTGTCCGGAATTGGTGGGTTCTTGGTCTCACTGACTTCAAGAATGAAGCCACGGACCCTCACGGTGAGTGTTATAGCTCTTAAGGTGGCATGTCTGGAGTTTGTTCCTTCTGATGTTCAGATGTGTTCGGAGTTTCTTCCTTCTGGTGGGTTTGTGGTCTCACTGGCTCAGGAGTGAAGCTGCAGACCTTCGTGGTGAGTGTTAACAGCTCTGAAGGCAGTGCATCTGGAGTTCTTTGTCTCTCCCGGTGGGCTCGTAGTCTCACTGGCTTCAGGAATGAAGCTGCAGACCTTTGCAGTGAGTGTTACAGCTCATAAAAAGCAATGTAGACTCAAAGACTGAGCAGTAGCAAGATTTATTGCAAAGAGCAAAAGAACAAAGCTTCCACACTGTGGAAGGGGACCAGAGCAGGTTGCCACTGCTGGCTGGGGCAGCCTGCTTTTAGTCTCTTATCTGGCCACACCCACATCCTGCTGATTGGTAGAGCCGAGTGGCCTGTTTTGACAGGGTGCTGATTGGTGCGTTTACAATCCCTGAGCTACATACAAAGGTTCTCCACGTCCCCATCAGATTAGTTAGATACAGAGTATGGACACACGGGTTCTCCAAGGCCCCACCAGAGCAGCTAGATACAGAGTGTAGATTGGTGCACTCGCAAACCCTGAGCTAGACACAGGGTGCTGATTGGCGTGTTTACAAACCTTGAGTTAGATACAGAGTGCCGATTGGTGTATTTACAATCCCTGAGCTAGACATAAAGGTTCTCCAAGGGCCCACTAGAGCAGCTAGGTAGAGTGTCAATTGGGGCACTCACAAACCCTGAGCTAGACACAGGGTGCTGATTGGCGTGTTTACAAACCTTGAGCTAGATACAGAGTGCCGATTGGTGTATTTACAATCCCTGAGCTAGACATAAAGACTCTCCACATCCCCACCAGACTCAGGAGCCCAGCTGGCTTCACCCAGTGGATCCAGCACCGGGGCTGCAGGTGGAGCTGCCTGCCAGTCCTGGGCCATGCGCTCACACTCCTTAGCCCTTGGGCGGTCGATGGGACTGGGCGCCCTGGAGCAGGGGGCGGCGCTCGTCGGGGAGGCTTGGGCCGCACAGGAGCCCACGGAGTGGGTGGGAGGCTCAGGCATGGCGGGCTGCAGGTCCCGAGCCCTGCCCCGTGCGAAGGCAGCTAAGGCCTGGCGAGAAATCGAGCGCAGTGCCGGTGGGCCGGCACTGCTGGGGGACCTAGTACACTCTCCGCAGCCGCTGGCCCGGGTGCTAAGCCCCTCACTGCCTGGGGCTGGCAGGGCCCGCCGGCTGCTCCGAGTGCGGGGCCCGCCAAGCCCACGCCCACCCGGAACTCCAGCTGGCCCGCAAGCACTGCACGCAGCCCCGGTTCCCGCTCGCGCCTCTCCCTCCACACCTCCCTGCAAGCTGAGGGAGCCGGCTCTGGCCTTGGCCAGCCCAGAAAGGGGCTCCCATAGTGCAGCGGTGGGCTGAAGGGCTCCTCAAGTGCCGCCAAAGTGGGAGCCCAGGCAGAGGAGGCGCCCAGAGCGAGTGAGAGCTGTGAGGACTGCTAGCAGGCTGTCACCTCTCAAGCTCACTGCAACCTCTGCCTCCCAGGTTCAAGTGATTCTCCTGCCTCAGCCTCCTGAGTAGCTAGGATTACAGGCGTGTGCCACCACACCCGGCTAATTTTTGTACTTTTAGTGGAGACAGGGTTTCACCATGTTCGCCAGGCTGGTCTCAAACTCCTGACTTCAGGTGATTCACCCACCTTGGCCTCCCAAAATGCTGGGATTACAGGCATCAGCCACTGCTCCTGGCCTCTGTGTAGTTTTGTTTGGAGCTGCAGTAAATAGTGTCTAATCTTTTCCTTCCTTACAGGCTATTTCTCCATATTGCTTCCCAGATACAAAATTCATAAATGTATACAAGCCATACCCATGTTACCCACTCCCTCAGGCCCTGCCAAGGCCTTGAGAAACTAGACTCAGACTGTGTCTCCATGTAGGGGGATTGCACATAGCATCTTTGAACTTCAGTTTCTCTTTCTGTAAAATGGGGAATTTTGACTACTTAGCATGCGTCATGTGTTAAAACCCTAACCTCGTTAGCAATTATAACCACTATCAGTATCCCATACTCTGGTTTTTTTAGGGCTTTCCCAAGGCAAATGGGAAGATTTGCTGCCAAGCTCACTTCGGGAGGTCACCAGGCCCAGAACATTCTCGTCCTCACAAATTTTCACTTCCTTCATTTAAGAACAAGGACTAGAGTGTTCTCACTTAATTACAACTGGGATAGGTGGGAGGGAGTTACCCATGTGGGCAACATTAGGGAAACTTTTTCTTTGAGACAGGGTCTTGCTCTGTTGCCCAGGCTGGAGTACAGTGGTGTGATCATGGCTCACTGCAGCCTCGACTTCCTGGGCTCAAGCAATCCTCCTGTCTTAGCCTCCTAAGTTCTGACAGCCCTTAGGGACTACAGGCGCACACCACCACACCCCATTCATTTTTGCATTTCTTGTGGAGATGCGTTTTTTCCATGTTTCTCAGGCTGGTCTTGAATTCCTGGGCTCAAGAGATCCTTAGGGAAACATTCTACCAAACCAGAAGTGATGGATCAACTCCCAGCAAGCCTTTAGTGGGCATTGTTCTTTTCAGGGAGCTGGATAGAAGAGGGGTCTCGGAGCCACAACACCCGTGCTGCCCATGATGGTAGAAAAGGGAAGTCTAAAAAGAGTTTGGGTCTGAACTGGGGCCTAGGAAAAGTTAATGGGGCAGTGATTTTGGCCTTTTCTACCCACCTCCTTGTAATAATATTATTTTAACAATCTGGCTGGTTATGTGGCTCATACCTATAATCCCAGCACTTTGGGAGGCCAAGGTGAATGGATCACCTGAGGTCAGGAGTTCAAGACCAGACTGGCCAACATGGTGAAACCCTGTCTCTACTAAAAATACAAAAATCATTCGGCCGAGGTGGTGGTTGCCTGTAATCCAAGCTACTCGGGAGGCTGAGGCAGGAGAATCGCTTGAACCTGGGAGGCGGAGGTTGCAGTGAGCTGAGATTGCGCCACTACCCTCCAGCCTGGGTGACAGAGGGAGACTCCTTCTCCAAAGAAAAAACCTAACCGCCCCCCCCAAAAAAAACCAATCAAACAAAAAACCAATCTTACCCCCATGACGTTGCCTCTCTCTAGCCTCCCAGGGTATTTCTGTAGTCTCAATATTTGGCCTTAGCTATAAGAAAATTTCCTTACCATTACTCTTTGTTTATTGTGCAATTCTCTGAAGATATTCTTCTGATGGCATTCTTTCCTCTCCATTCCTTGTGTGTCATCATTATTTCTTGCTTATTCCTGTCTTGTGCTTACTTCCTGAAATCTGATCTATCCTTTAGGCCTATCTCAGAAGCCTTTATGAAGCCAGCCTGCACGGAGACACTTTCCTTCTCTGGAACCCATGGCACTTAGCTGCTATGGCTTTTGTGCTCATCAGCAAACTGGAATGCGCTTCCATTAGACTTATCCTTTCACCTTAGATTCCTTAAGGCAGGAACTGTCCTGTACTTAGCCTTGCTCTTGTCATGTTGTATTTACTTGATAATTATTCCTTGAATTTAACTGGAAATTCCAGTTTGGAAGGAGAGGACATATATACACGAAGCATGGTATATTTAAATAAACTGGAGTTAATTTTCCTTCAGAAATACCTCCTATTTAAGCCTTTGCCACACAGGTATAGGCCTGGAAATAAAAGGTGTGGCTAAAAGCTACCTGCTCAGAGAACTCTTTTTTGTTGTTGTTGTTTTGAGATGGAGTCTCGCTCTGTCGCTAGGCCGGAGTGCAGTGGCGCAATCTTGGCTCACTGCAACCTCCGTCTCCTGGGTTCAAGCGATTCTCCTGCCTCAGCCTCCCGAGTAGCTGGGACTACAGACATGCGCCACCACGCCCGGCTAAATTTTTGTGTTTTAATAGAGACGGGGTTTCACCCTGTTGGCCAGGCTGGTCTCAATCTCCTGACCTCGTGATCCGCCCGCCTCGGCCTCCCAAAGTACTGGGATTACAGGCGTGAGCCACCGTGCCCAGCCCAGATAACTCTTTTCTTCAGATTTTCTTTACAGATTCTTCAAACTGTAAAATAAATGAATACCATCTCTCATCACCTATACCTAGGAAGTGCTGAGTAACTCTTTCCTATGGACCCACTGAGTCAGAGGTTCACATCTGGTTGGGCAAGTAGTGGGTGTGATCAGTGATGAATATTCTTTTGGTTTCAGCACCAGCATCAGCTATTTATATGTCAGTGATGCAAATCTCCATATGCAGAGTCCTTGATACTGTTCGGAGTGCTTCCATACCCATGCCCAAACTGGACCCAGCGGGGGTGGCTGCCGAGAAAAGAAACTTGACAGAGCAGGTTCAAAGGGTCCCTGGTTTCTTGCACTGGAAGTATTAGGGTGGGAACACAGTGGGAGAAGAGAGGTGGAATGTCACAGTTCTGACAGCCCTTAGCATGGAGATAGCCAGCAGCCAATTAGATATGGGAATCAGAAGCCTAGCAGAGAGGATAGCTGGAGAGTACATTTCAAAGTCACTGCCATATAAACAGGAATTAAAACCCTGATAGTGGGTGGGATCGCCTGGGAGAGTACGGAGGAAGAGGAGGATGGATTCAGAATGGAGTCCCAGTGCTTGGGTAGTGCATGGAGGACAGGACCCCTGAACAGGCCGGCAAAGTGTGGGTAGAGAGGTCAAGGAGAGAGAGGAGAAGTTACTGTAGAAATCGATAACTTCAACAAATGAGAGAGAGGTCAGCTGTAAGGTAAGAACCAAGAAGGGCCCACTGGATTTGGCGTGGAGCAAAGGGATGGAGTGAGTGGAGTAAAAGCGAAGATGGAAGGTGGATTTCAGTGGTGCCAGAGGGGAATGGTAGTAAGGAGAGCGTAGTGGACATGGAGATGTGCTGCTCAGATCTCCCCCAAGGAAGGACTTGTTGCCCAGCTATGGGAGAGCAGTCAGCAGACAGCCTCCAGCCATCAGCTCCTTCAGGGTCCCCTGGCTGCAAAGAGCTGCCTGGTCCCTCTTCCTGGTCACACCCTTTCTCCTGGCAGCTCCATGTGGTGACTAAGCAGGGCTGGATATAAATGCCTGGCTCTTTCAGTTCAACTTGCTTTGCTTTGATAGACAATACTGCCCCAAGCTCTCTGCAGAGTTATGAGAGGTGTGGTTGGGCCTGCAGCTCAGTTTAACTTCTCCCTCTGCCCACTCCTGCTTCCTTGCCCTTATTCACAGGTGTTAATACCTAATTAACATCTTGCATCCCAACTTTATCTCAGTATCTGTTTCCAGAGAACATGGTCTCCAACAGAATCATGGGAACAAGTCTTCTGAAGAGTTTGAGAGCAGGAGTCGAGGGACGGGAAGGAGGTGTTAAAAAATTAGTAGGGAATGGTGACACGACTATAGTCCTAGCTATTGGGAGGCTAAGGTGAAAGGATCACTTGAGCTTAGGGGTGACTATACTCAGCTCTTCTCGGGGCTCACGAAACACTTTACAAAACATCTTTCTGTATCTCATTTGAGGGTTTTTGCCTACAGTCATTGCCAAGGCCACTTATCTGTAGTTTTCTTTTCTTTTTTATTTTTGGGACAGAGTCTCGCTTTGTCACCCAGGCTGGAGTACAGTGGCCTGATCTTGGCTCACTGCAAGCCTTGACTTCCTGGGCTCAAGTGATCCTCCTGCCTCAGTCCCCCAAGTAGCTGGGACTACAGGTGTGCACCACCACACCTGGCTAATTTTTTTTTTTTCTTGAGATGGAGTTTTTGCTCTTGTTGCCCAGGCTGGAGTGTGATGGCACGATCTCGGCTCACTGCAGACTCCACCATCCAGGTTCAAGCAATTCTCCTGCCTCAGCCTCCCGAGTAGCTGGGATTACAGGCATGCGCCACCACACCTGGCTAATTTTGTATTTTTAGTAGAGACAGGGTTTCTCCATGTTGGTCAGGCTGGTCTCGAACTGCTGACCTCAGGTGATATGCCTGCCGCGGCCTCCCAAAGTGTTGGGATTACAGGCGTGAGCCACCGTGCCCAGCTAATTTTTGTATTTTTTGTAGAGATGGGGTTTTGCCCAGGCTCATCTCAAACTCCTGAACTCAAGTAATCCACCTGCCTCAGCCTCCCAAAGTGCTAGGATTACAGGCGTGAGCCCCCACACCTGGCCTGATCTGTGCTTTTCAACATTCATCTTTTTTTCCATCTTTGGGAATCAGAGCCACACAATCTCCAACTTCTAATACCTTTCTGCCTCTTTGTGATTTCTCAGAGATCGTTGATAGTGACTTGGAGATACTCTCAGTTAATTTTTATTTTGGTACTTAGGAATGTAATCCATTCAGACCAGGAGGTTTGAACACATTTGGAGCAGCTACTCTTGCTGTTATTATTATTTTTTTCAGGTGTTATGGTGATTCCCACTTAGCAGTGGCCGTTCTGCTGTTTCCTAGTCAAATTCCATGCTGCTTACTGATAAGCTGGGGGCACTGGCTTCTGCTCTTGCTCTTTCTTCTGGAAACATTATTCTGTTCCTTTGGACATGGGCAAGGGTCCTGTCCCTAACTTGTCCTTCTTTTTCTTTTGATCTTAACCAGTTTCACTTGTACCAAGACCAAACTTTCTTACCTTTCCATGCAGGGAAACAGGCACCATCAAGATCAATGCCCTGGTACTCCTTATGTAGTGAGTGATAGATGCTCATGGAAAATGGGGAGAAAACTAAGGGGTGAAAGGGAATAACTCTAAAAAGGACACGTTCACACTTTCTGACAGCATAGTTGCATGTTTTCAATTTATTTTGGCCACCAGATGGCATAACTGGGCTCATTAAGATAAACAAAGAGAATGGCTACTACTCTGAAAAAACAAACAAAAAAAAACTCTAGATAATTAATGGTGAAAATGCCCCTGAGAAAGCTCATTTCTAATTCTTACTCCTAGCTGGCTTTTTATACACAGGCAGGGGAGACCCATCTTTGGAATTTTAAGGTTCAAAAAGGAATTTGTCTGTACCTGATGGCCAGAAAACCACACTGAAATCGTCAACTGGCATTTAGAATTGTCTGTTCTAAGAGTTAGAAATGAGCGTGTCTCTACCTGCTTCTAGCACACACCTTCCTTTGAGGTAAACTCCTTACTGTTGAGCCCTTGAATCTCGGAGTGGATGAAGAGGGTGATGAGGGATTGTAGCTAATATTAGCATTGTTGAGCTAAAATACCATCATATTTTGTCAGGAGAAGTGCTGACTGTCCTGTGGAATCTGAGGATGAGTGGCATTGGTCCCTAAGGATTAGCTTGTCCCTTTCGGTTACTTTTGAATATGATTTGGAACTTGTGGGGTTTGGGTTATGACAAGAAGGGAACTGAGAAAGTAAAAACATTCATTGCTTGTTTTGTGCTTCTACATATTTTTGACTCTGGGAGATTTTAAAGGTCTATTTCTAATATTTGTTCTAGGTGCATAGATTTGTTTATTCAACAAGCATTCCAGGCACCATATAGGGGCTTGGAAGAAAGAGTAAATAAGGCAGAGTTCCAACTTTCAAAGAGCTTTCTAATCTTGGTTTTTAGTCCCACAGGGGCAAGATGGGAATGCCATGAGAGGCTCTTTGATTGTGGCCCAAGGGAACACTCAGTGCCTAGATGTGTGAAGTGGGATGCAGCTCCTGGTGAAGGCAGAAGTCCTTTAAAAGTTTATTGATTGCAAAGAATAAACCAAAATGGGCCGGGTGCAGTGGTTCATGCCTGTAATCACAGCACTTTGAGAGGCCAAGGCAGGCGGTTCATGAGGTCAGGAGTTCAAGACCAGCCTGGTCAACATGGTGAAACCCCGTCTCTACTAAAAATACAAAAATTAGCTGGGCATGGTGGCGGGTGCCTGTAATCCCAGCTACTTGGGAGGCTGAGGCAGGAGAATCGCTTGAACTCGGGAGGCAGAGGTTGCAGCGAGCCGAGATGGCACCACTGCACTCCAGCCTGAGTGACAGAGTAAGACTCCATCTCAAAAAAAAAAAAGAATAAACCAAAATGACAAAGCTTCTTGATAACATCCCAGCCCATTTCTTCTTCTTCTTCTTTCACTTCTCCTTCTCCTTCTTCTTCTTCTTCCTCTTCCCCTTCTTCTTCTTCTCCTCCTTCTCCTTCTTTTTTTTTGGAGATGGAGTCTTGCTCTCTTGCCCAGGCTGGAGTGCAGTGGTGTGAGCCACCCCGCCCAGCCATCCCAGCCCATTTCTTATACAAGAAACATTGAGGGTTTACTAAAGAAAGAAAGAGACAGTAGAATAATGGGAACCACGTTGCAAAAATGTAAATTGCTCACTGGTGACTGCCAGGATTTTGATGATCTAATAAAATGACTGGCATATGAGGTGGGGAAAATGTACCCTCCTGTGATCAGCCAGAGGTTTCAGCAGCAGTGGAAGATGCATACCAGAAGGCGGTGCAAAGGGGGATTAGAGAGGATCTAAACTGGTATCAGGGATTGGGTGTGGTGGCTCACATCTGTTATCCCAGCACTTTGGGAGGCCAACATGCGAGAATTGCTTGAGCCAGGAGTTTGAGACCAGCCTAGGCAACATAGTGAGACCTCATCTCTGCAAAAGTTTTAAACAATTAGCCAGACATGGTGGTGCATGCCTGTAGTCCCAGCTACTCAGGAGGTTGAGGTGGGAGGATCACTCAAGCCCAGGAGACGGAAGCTGCAGTGACCCATAATCACGCCACTGCATACCAGCCTGGGCAGCAGAGCAAGATCCTGTCTCAAAAAAGAAAAAAAAACACAAAAACTGGTGTCGGGAAAAGTAGTTGGGAAGCTATGGAAATTGCTCCAGTGAGAGGTGATGAACATCTGAATTAGTGGCAGGAGTCTCTCTGAGCCTATTCAGTTTCAGGGGATTGCTTGATTTAAAAAAAAAAAAAAAGACAAATTAGCCGGGCGTGGTGGTGGATGCCTGTAATCCCAGCTACTTGGGAGGCTGAGGCAGGAGAATCACTTGAACCCGGGAAGCGGAGGTTGCAGTGAGCCAAGATGGCACCATTGCACTCCAGGCTGGGTGACAGTGCGAGACTCCATCTCGAAAAAAAAAAAAAAAAAAGGCAGTGGTTAAGGGACTGAGTGGGGACAGATGGGAGATGGATTTTAGGGTAGGAAGGGTGGATGTAAGTGTGAAGGAGAGGAAGAATGACTCTGGAGAGAACACCAGCTCCAGTGGCCTGACCCTAAGTCCTGTGTGCTTTCTCGCATATTGTGCTGCCTCGTCATATAACGAAGATTCCACTTTAGTCCAACTCTTCCATTTTACAGTGAAAGGAGAAGATTAAAACCCAGAAAATGGAAACCCTCATTTATGTTAAAGCTGAGAAATCAAGTGTCCCTTCCCTGATCCAATCCTCTTCCGCAGGTTCATGACAGGGTGCACATTAGAACTACCTGCAGAGCCTTCCAAGCGGCACGTGCCTGGCCCATCCCTAGATCCAGTGAACCAGAATCCCTGGGCTGGGACCACTGGCTCATTCCAGACAGTGCACAAGCATCTCTTCCTGGTGCAACCTTCCATAGCATGTTCCGCTTGGATCACTTTCTCTTTCTCTGTTTTATAATTGCCCATTACATACAGCCACTGATAACTGAAAAGGCTCGCAGTGTTTGGATGAGGAACCATATGCAAACAAATACCACAGTTCTTCCTTATAGACCCACTTAACTGATTTGCAAACATCTCACTGAAACCGCAGGGGAGAGGTTTTAGAAGGCTATGCTCCAGTAAGGAAAAATTAATGGAAGTAATTGTTCAGTAAGCAGTTACCAATCTAAGTTTTATAAAATTGATACTCTCTTTATGAGTGTATTTTAGTAAAAATAGGGAATAGCTTTTTTTTTTTTGAGACGGAGTCTCGCTTTGTCACCCAGGCTGGAGTGCAATGGCGCCATCTCGGCTCACTGCAACCTCTGCCTCCCAGATTCAAGCGATTCTCCTGCCTCAGCCTCCGATTACAGGCGCCCGCCACCATGCCTTGCTAATTTTTGTATTTTATAGTAGAGACGGGGTTTTGCCATGTTGGCCAGGCTGGTCTCGAACTCCTGACCTCAAGTGATCTGCCTGTCTTGGCCTCCCAGAGTGCTGGGATTAGAGGCGTGAGCCACCGTGCCTGGCTGGGAATAGTTTTAAAACATAAAAAACGCAAAAGTTTTAAAAAACATGGGTTTTCTAAAGATTTCGGTATTCCCTATCCCTAACTTTTCATAAAGTCCTGAGTTTCTTAATCACAATGTTTTCATCCAAGGAGGCTTTTAGGAACAGGACCCCAGGGTTAGGGCAGGAATACACTATTGTTATTTTAACAGTCTATCAACTAGAAAGGCAAAAAAAAAATTAGATTTTTTTCAATATTAATGAAGTTGAATTGTTCGTTGATAATTGTTAATTAGTTATGGTGTTTCTGTTATAAATTGTCTGTGTCTGAATTTCTCACACAGTACAATATAAAATACAAATAGCTGTGGGGTATTTTCTAGGTGCTGGTTACTGTTCTAAGAGCTTTAAATGGAGTAATTCAGTTAATCCTGCCTCACGGTACAATAATTAGTCTCGTATGACGGAGGAAATAGAAGCCTGGAGAGGTCAAGTAACTTGCCCAAAGTCATACCCAGAAAGGCTGGATTCAGAGACTGTTGCCAACATTTTCCTTATTTATTTGCATTCCATTTTTTTCTATTAAATATAAAAATTAGCCAGGCGCAGTGGCTCACACCTGTAATCCCAGCACATTGGGAGGCCGAGGAGGGTGGATCACTTGAGGTCAGGAGTTCAAGACCAGCCTGGCCAACATAGTGAAACCCTGCCTCTACTAAAAATACAAAAAATCAGCTGGACATGATGGCCTGTGCCTGTAGTTCCAGGTACTCAGGTACTCGAGAGGCTGAGGCAGGAGAATCGCTTGAATGTGGGAGGTGGAGTTTGCAGTGAGCCAAGATTGTGCCATTGCACTCCAGCCTGGGTGACAGAGCGAGACTTTGTCTCAAAAGAAAAAAAAAAATTTAAAAACTTTTTGTAGTTAAATCTATGCATATATTCCTTTCTTTTGTTGGCCTATTGTTTCAGTTAATTTGTTTTTTTACTTTTTTCCCATGTTTTACTTATTACTTTCATATTTCTTGTATGATATTTATCTTAAAATCTAGTTTTATTTTTCTTTAAGAGACTGGGAGTCTTGCTATGTTTCTCAGGCGGGTCTCGAATTTCTGGGCACAAGCGATCTTCCTGCCTCAGCCTCTCAAGTAGCTGGGAATTACGCCACCAACACACCTAGCTTCTTTCAGCTAATTTAGAACATCCTACCCTTTTCAGAGATTAAAAAATATTTAGATTTGCTCAGGATATGTTAGATGAAGTGAGGATTTACATCTACTATATGTATTTTCCCAAATATTAATAATTATTTCTCCTGAACCATTTATTGCATAATATTTTTCTGTTCCATTGTTATATGACAGCACGTTTCTGCCTGGTTGTAATCTCATAGTGGCTTGATTTTTAAGTGAACATTATATGTTTAACTGCCTCCTTGAGGATACTGAAGACTCTTTCCAATGATTATATTCTTTTCACTTCACCTGTCATGCATCAAGTGTTGATGTTGCTGGCTGCCTTTCTCAGTGTTAGTTTTTATGTGTTTTGGAATTTCAGCTTCCAGGTTCATTTCCAGGCTTTCTCTGTCTCCCTTCTCTTGTTCCTCACTCCTCCCTGCCTAGTGGCTGTGCAGTTGCCCTTCCCAGGGGCCAGTGTTCAGGACTAGGTCTTATATGGCAGTCGGGGCTCCTGCCCTGGGATAACCCTGGGAATGACTCACATCCAGCCCCATGGCTGTGGGTGGCTCAGTTAAGCCCAGGTGTGGTGCCGTTTGGTAACCATGGGCCTCCCTAGGCCACAGTCCCAGGCGAAGTTAGTAGCAAGCTATTTCAGTCTTCTTGAAGAGGGTGGAAGTGTGGGCAAGAGGGGAATCTGAGTCCCTAATATTTTCACAGTGACCATGACACTGGTCCCCCACCTCAGTGGGCAATTTAATTCTATCTCACCACTCAGTACTCAACAGGACTTGACTTCCCAGCTGCCTTTAACTGTACCCTGAGTCAGAACCCAACAGGCCACAGCTGTAGCCCTGTTCATCTTTTGCATTTATATTCAGTTTCTGGGAATATCTTTGGGGATATTCTCCCTTTGTGGAGCATTGCTTTTTAATTTTCTCTAATATTATATCTATCATTGCTCTGTATTGAAAGCCCCTGGGCTAGCCTGTTTCACTTGTGTCTATTTTTTAGAAGCATTTACTGTAGCTTTATACTACATATTTGGGGATCACTAACAATTTTTTCCGGTCACACTCTAATCACTTTCTCAAGGCTGGATCAGGTGCGAGACTCTGTAGCAGTAACCTGAAGTTGAGAATTGAGGAAGTAGTGCTGCTATGAGAGGAGACCTGCGGTGGCATCCCTAGGATGGGGTGCTGGTGGGGGGTGGGTGGCAAGGGGGAAAGGGGGTTTCTGCCTAAGGGAGTTTCTGCTCCATGCCAGCACTTCATCAGAGGTCTTGAGCCAGGGTGGAATCCAGCTCCAGGGAGCATATGAGAGCAAACAATGGAAGCTTGACATGATCACTGGATGAACATCTGAAGTTTCATATGTGATGGGATCTCCCCAGAAAACAATAGTGCACATCACAGCCAGGAGGCACCCAGAGCATTGTGTTGCTGTGTTTTTTGAACCCAGTGAGTTAACTGTCCAGTGTTCCACATCATTCTGACCTGGGTCAACAGATGGAGGCAGGGCACACTCTTGGCTGTAGCTCGATCCGCCTCTCCTGCTGCAGCAGGACATTTCTCAGTAGCACAGGCAAGGTGCTCCGGGCAGGGGACTGCATAGTAAGTGGTGCCTCCTTTGCAATATAAGCCAAACAAGGCTTCCTGCTGGAGCGCCTCTGGGCTAATTCAGGGGCATGAGAGGCAGCATCTACCCTTGCCCAGGGGCCCTGGCTCCCCTTTACTATGGGGGGTGGCCTGTGATCAGGCCCAGTGGGACTGAGGAGCAAATGTGGACAGTCTTCCCCGGCACACATCGGCTGACCTGCATGCCCAGACTGTCTCCTGGGGCGCCTGTACAAGTTGGTCCTAGAATCCAGTTCTTCCTGGAACTGGGTGTCATTTCAGGACAGAGAATACCGGGAGTCATAAATTGGCCCTGAAGCAAACGAAAGTCTTCCAATCCTGCATGACATAGCAGATTGTTTTGCTTGGGGCTTTGGCTTGGTCTGGGGCGTGCAGTTCCATGGGGGAACCTCTGGCAATCCCACCAGGGGGAGCCCTTTCCCCATCTTGGGGCTGTGGATCTCAGCTTTCCAGAATATTTGTGTGCATGTGAGTGAGCACATCTGACTTAATTTTTATATTCAGTATAGAATCATGACTCAGCTTTCCCTGTTAATGTAGTCAACTTAAGCTACTGCCATGGTTCAGGTTCCATCATGCTTCAAATATAGTTTATGACTGTAGTTACGTAGTGTGGCAGCAACACAGGGCAACTTGGGGCTGGGGAGAAGTGAGCGTGTCTTTCCCTCCCCAAATGCAGTCATTTAGCATCTTCCTCTTCCAGAGTCCTGTATCCCAGCGATGGGGATCAAGATTCAGACTTAAGGACACCCTACCTGGACCTTGGCAAGGAGATTTTTACAGTGGGAATCTGGTCCAGCCTCTCTCTGGCCCCAGGCCTCTACTGTCCACCTTTTACAAATGCCACATGGTAAGGAGTCAACTGAGCTACCTTCCAAGGAGCTGGATTGGTCTCCTGGCTCTGCCTGACCTTCCTCAGCCCCTCCGCAACCCCCACCTGCTCGCTTCTCCTTCACCTCCTCTCCTGTTCACCTGTACCTTCTTTCCTTAGATGTGGCCACACTCTGTTCCCCCAGGCAGCGTCTTCACTGAGTAGTCTTTGAATCATTAACCACCTGCAGCCCTATCCATGTTCTCTAGGGCACCTGCAAGAGGAGGAAGGGGAATTTGCTGATAGCCACAGCTGTGCATCCTACTGGAGGTGCCTTCCGGAGGGCAGCATAGTTAATCTAGACACCCAGCATTCTCAGTCCACTTCCATGGCCTTCTCTTCCCATTGCCTGGGTCTCAAAAGGCCCAGGACAATCTCATGAGGTGGACCGAGCAGTATTTGGGGAGGGAGGATAGAAAAGAGACTGGGATATCTTTAATTAATAGATACTATTAAAACCTCCTCCCCAGCAGCAGTAGTAGGGATCGTTAGTGGCAGCAAATCCATAGGGGTCTGCAGCAACCTCAATTCTTGCCTCTTTGGTCACTTACTGGGATCTTATTGGGAAACTGCTGATCACCAGTTTCAGATGTTTCTATTGGGAGACTGCCTGTCTCTGGTGCCAGCTGTGACCAATTATTTTAGAGAGCCCGTTAACAACTGCCTGACCCTCACCTGATGTTTGCCTGACATTCCTGTGGGTGTGTGTCTGGGGCGCCCTCTCCTGCCCTGCTCATCCCTGACTAGCTACTTACTCTAACAGGATGAGAAGACATACAAAATAGAGGCTACTTTAAAAAAAAAATTCTCAGAGTGTAGTGTGTAAACGTTCACCTCCACTATAAAGACCTCCTTGCCAGGGGTAGGAAGCCTTTAGTCTGAACCTTGAGCTCCGTCGCTGGGATACAGGACTCTGAAGAGGAAGACGCTAATGATGACATTGAGTTGACTCCACAGCATCTCACAATTCTTTCTTTTTCTAAGTCATCTGCATTTAGTATCCACTGACCAAGCAGGCAGGAAATGTAATTGAAGTTTTATTAGGGACTCCCCTATCTCTTCTCCTATGGGGTCCAGTGACTATCCCAGGGGTCTGACCCAGCCTAGAACATTCAGAGTCTGGGCCTCTGACCTTCAGACACAGCTGATATGAATGGGAGTCTTTGTGGTTAGTAAGGCCAAGGTTCTTAGCTAGTTTCCTTTGGAATCCCTGACCTCCCTCCATCCCCACTGTTGTGTGTGGGGTTCTATGTGGGAGCAGGGCTTCTCCTCACTACTCCAAGGACCCCCAAACCACATCCCTTCCACAGCATCTGGGAATCTCCCCCCACCCCCCACTCCCTTGAGCAGCTTTTGCCTCCTTCAGTCCAGTGTGCTTACCTCTCTCCCCTGGCAGAGAACCCAGGTGCTGGGGGGGGTCTCCTCTGGATGCCTTGCCAACTTCTTTTTTTTTCTTTCCAACTTCTTCTCTTGGTGAGGCTACGCAAAATCTTCTGGGGCCAGGATGTGCAAACGCTTCCTGGAATGGGGTAGAACAGTGACAAAACAGGAAGAACAAAAAACCACATGTTAATATCTCAAGAAAGTATCCAGCCACCATAATGAAGGGGCTTCCAGGCTCTGAGGGAAGACCACTGAGCTGAGGGGCCTTTGCACTCTATTCCAGGGAAGATAATGGATGCCCAGAAGAAGTGGGACATTTGGAGCCCCAGACAAACCAATGACACAGACTGAGACACTGTGGAGCTGGATGCCTTTCTGTGTGTTTGTTAGAGTATGAGAAGCCCGCTGGGAACAAGTAAGGGCATCCCTAACCATCAGTGTCCATTGCCCAAGAGAGATGGCAGAAGTGGGTTGGTCCAAATCCTTTCCGTTGTAAATGTGGAGGGCTAACATTTTGAAATATTCTCTGGCCAGGTGCGGTGGCTCACACATGTAATCTCAGGTACTTGGGAGGCTGAGGCAGGAGGATCACTTGAGCCCAGGGGTTCCAGGCTGCAGTGAGCTGCAATTTTGCCACTGTACTCCAACCTGGGTGACAGAGAGAGACCTCATCTCTAGAAAAAAAAAAAAAAACAACTTCTGATTTATTTCATCTGTATCTCTCCCTCCTCCCCTCCCACTCCCCAGCCCTTCTAGCAGTTGGGGTAGGAGGGTGGGCAGTCAGCAGAAAGCAGAGCCAAGCAGCATCTTCTGCCTCATAAATTTCAAACATGAGACCTCATGGGAACTGAAAGGATTTATGACATAGGCCAGGTATTTAGGAGAAATGGACACTAAGAACAACCATCCCCTCACCTTCCAACAGAAAGGGGTTCCCTTGTGCTGGTGGGGCAGAGGGGCCATAATAACAATGTGCACATTTGTGGGTATTAGAGAAAGGGGTCCCTGGGCTGAGTCCTGGGGAGGTGGCAGAAATGGCAGACAGGTTTGTGGGGTCAGACAGAAAGCTCTGTCTTGCTTCGTCTTTGAGCCAAAGGGGACCTGGTGCCCCTGAGTTGGGGGCACTGTGTGGTGCCCAGTCACACTCTCCGTGGTGTCCTCAGTGAGTGGCACTCATTGAGGGACAGGAGGAGCAGAGCTGCTCCCAATAGAGAAGCACTGGAGCCCACACTGCCTAAAGTGGGAATGACCCAAATAGCCTTCAGCAGGAGAAAGGGGAGGAAAATTGTGGCATATGCATGCAGTGGAATATTTCTCAGCACTGAAAATGAATGTTCCTATAACTGCATGTGATAACAGGCAAATCTGCAGACATAAAGTCGAGTGAAAGAAGCCAGCTGTGAAAGAGCACATTGTATGATTCCATTTATATAAAGCTCAGGTCCAGGCAAAATGGTAGTAGTGAGGAGAGAGGTTGTCCTTTGGGGAGGGTAGTAACTAAAAGGCACAGGAGGGGGCCCCTGGCATCCTGGGAATGTCCTTTCCTTAATCTAGGCACTGGTTGCATGCATATGCTGTTTGCGAAAGTTCTTTGAGCTGTACATTTAAAATTAATGCACTTCTCTGTATGTATGTTTTATTTATATAAAAACATTTTTTTAAAAGATAGAAGTAGCTGGATGCAGTGGCTCACGCCTGTAATCCCAGCACTTTGGGAGGCCAAGGCGGATGGATCACCTGAGGTCGGGAGTTCGAGACCAGCCTGACCAACATGGTGAAACCCCATCTCTACTAAAAATACAAAAATTAGCCGGGTGTGGTGGCACATGCCTGTAATCCCACCTTCCTGGAGGCTGGGAGGTGGAGGTGAGCTGAGATCGCACTACTGCATTCCAGCATTCCAGCCTGGGCTACAAATGAGACTCTGTCTTTCAAAAAAAAAAAAAAAAAAAAAAGGACTTTCTGCTCTTTCCTGCTTGACATCTTCCTTGACTCCATCTTCTTTTTGATCACCTTTTTATGGCTTCCTGAATTGATCTCATGGATTTTTTATCTGCATCAAAAATGGAAATGGATTAGATGTTGCGATTTTTAGGGTATAAAATTCAATGATTAATTTTATGTGTCAATTTGATTGTGTTGCACTACAGGGTGCCCAGATTAAATAACATTTCTTGGTGTGTCTCTGAGGGTGTTTCTAGGTGAGATTAGCATTGTGGACTCAGTAGATTGTCTTCGCCAGTGTGGTGGGCATCATCTAATCTGCTGAGAGCCTGAACAGAACGAAAAGAGGAAAGAGAAATTCACTACTGTTTCTTCCCGCCTGCGCGCTGGAACTGGAATATCAGTCTTCTTCTCTCCTTGGACTGAGATTTGTACTATTAGCTCCCCTGGTTCCTCTGGTCCACAAGATTGTGGACATAGACTGGAATTATATTACTGGCTTTCCTGGGTCTCAGTTCGCTGATGGCAGACTGTGGGACTTTAGAGCCTCCATAATAATGTGAGCCAATTCCTCATTCTATCTATCAATCTATATATCGATTGATTGATCGATCGATAGATCGATCTATCTAATCTATCTATCTACTTATCTATCTATCATATCATCTACTGATTTCTCTCTCTCTCT
Organism: Homo sapiens; assembly: GCF_000001405.40. NCBI lineage: Eukaryota > Metazoa > Chordata > Mammalia > Primates > Hominidae > Homo > Homo sapiens. Next base: position 2,133,857 of record NT_167249.2, read on the forward strand.
TCTTTTTTTTTTTTTTGAGACAAGATCTCACTCTGTTGCCTAGGCTGGAGTGCAGTGGCACAATCCTAGCTCATTGCAGCCTTGACTTCCCAGGCTCAAGCAATCCTCCAGCCTCATCCTCCTGAGTAGCTAGGACTACAGGTGCCCACCACCATGCCCAACTAATTTTTAAACTTTTTTTACAGATGAGGTCTCACTATGTTGCCCAGGCTGGTCTCTAACTCCTGGGCTCAAGCGATCCTCTCACCTCGGCCTCCCAAAGTGCTAGGATTACAGGCATGAGCCACCGTGCCTGGCCCTGATTTCTCCTATTGGGTCTGCTTCCCTGGAGTACCCTAATACAGATGGGTTTGTGTTATTGAGAGCCCTATTTGCTGCCTCCTTCACAAGATGCTAGCTGAACTCTTGAGCATGGGCATCAGCATTGGTAAATCTGGCAGTAAGGCCTGTGGGCTGCTCACATCAGCCAGGCAGACATTTGATTAAGTTTGAGATCTTGATGTCTTCACCAGAGCCACTAAGTTTTATATATGCCATTGTTGAAGCCAACCCCAACTCACCTGGCAATCAGCTGGAGGAAGGGGACTACTTCTATTCATTGCAGATTTAAAAGTTGGCTACATATCCTTTGCTACTTCTCCCATTGGGAGGTGGGGACCCCTTAAATCTGGGTGGCTGTGTGGCTGCTCGAGCGACACAAATTGTTGGAAGTGATGCTAAACCAGCTTCCAGCACAGGATTCAATAGCACCTTCCACCTCCTGTCTCCTGGAGCATTCTCTGGGAGCCTGAATCACCATGTAAAAAGTTCAAAATCAGGCTGGGCACGGTGGCTCACACCTGTAATCCCAGCACTTTGGGAGGCTGAGGCGGGCGGATCATGAGGTCAGGAGTTCAAGACCAGCCTGGCCAACATGGTGAAATGCCGTCTCTACTAAAAATACAAAAATTAGCTGGATGTGGTGGTGCGCACCTGTAATCCCAGCTACTCAGGGGGCTGAGGCAGGAGAATTGCTTGAACCCCGGAGGTGGAGGTTGCAGTGAGCTGAGATTGCACCACTGCACTCCAGCTCTGGGTGACAGAACAAGACTCTGTCTCAGGAAAAAAAAAAAAAAAAAAAAAAGTTTCAAATTCAGGCTGGGCACAGTGGTGCTCCGTAATCCTAGAACTTTGGGAGGCTGAGGCAGGGGGATTACTTGAGGTCAGAAGTTCAGACCAGCCTGGTCAACATAGTGAGAGTCCATATCTACAAAAAAGAAAAGATTAGCCGGGAATGGTGGCTCACGCCTGTAGTCCCAGCTACTCAAGAGGCTGAGGCAGGAGGATTGCTTGAGACCTTTAAGGTTGTAGTCAGCTATGACCATGCCATTGCACACCAGCCTAGGCAACAGAGCGAGACCCTGTACCCCTCTTCCCCCCAAAAGAAGAAGTTCAAATTCCCTGCCACTGCCTGCTGGAGTGGCCGAGTATGGTACTCTGGCCAACCACTAGCAGAGCCCAGCTGTCCCCACAAAGGTGACAAAAATGTGAAGGAAGCTGTCTTGAACACTCCAGACCAGCCAGCTGCCGAAGATGGCATTGAGTGACTCCAGTTAACATCAAGCAGAGTAGAATTGCTGAACTGACAGACACAATTTTTTATGTAAGGAAGTGGCTGTTGTTGTAAGCCACTAGGTTTGGGATGGCGGTTGCTCAGTGATAGATAACTGAAACAGCTGTATCTGCACCTGGACCAGAGCTTTCATGCCCAGGGTGAGTAGCTTCTTGGTTCTGTAAGGCTCTGTCTCCTTCAACTCACTTTGCCGGGTTGCGGCTACAGCATTACCCAGCTCTTCATTCCATTACAGTTCATCAAAGCTCCCATGCCAGGCTTGTGGCAGGGTAATTTACTGTGGAATTGTTTTGTTTTGTTCTTGTTGCTCTGTGTATACTCCCCTCACCAAGAGAGTTACTGGGCTTTTTGTTCCCAATTCTGAGGCTCTTTCTTGAGTATGGAGAAGGTGGGTAGTGATGGCATTTGGATTATGCGCAAACACCTAGGCTAAGAGAGGCAGAAGTGGACTGTGGGTGTGTCTTGAGCAGAGGTTGAGATTCTCTAGGGTCTGGAAATTTGGTGCTTTCTCCCCACGAGTGAGGAGACCCCCACTTCTGCCCAGAGCATTCCCAGGCTGAAGGATTGCTGGAGAATGCCCAGAGAAGCCATGATTTCTCCCAGCTAGGGGCACAGAGGCCAGGGTCCCCAGGGAGATTCTACTATGGGTGATGTGGACATTGCTGATGTGAGGGGAAGTGCTGGGCCTGACCCAGAGGACATCACTCCAGGACTTGACTGTAGCCTCTGAAAGTAGAGGCAGCTAGAGAAACAATAGTGGCTTCTATGGGCTAAATGTCTCTGTCCCCCCATAATTAATATGTTGAAAACCCAACCCCCAGTGTGATGATATTTGGAGGTGGGGCCTTTTGGAGGTACTTAGGTTTAGCTGAGGTCATAAGGGTGGAGCCCCCATGTGTGATTAGTGCCCTTATAAGACGAGTTAGAGACCAGAGCTCTCTCTCGGCCATCGGTAGTGAGAAGGCTGCAGTCTGAGAATCAGGAAGAGAGCCCTCAGCAGACATCAAATCTGCTGGTACCTGGATCTTGGACTTCCTAGTCTCCAGAACTGTGAGAAATACATATTCATTCAGCTGGGTGTAGTGGCTCACACCTGTAATCCTAGTACAGGTTTGGGAGACCAAGGTGGGCAGATTACTTGAGCCCAGGAGTTTGAGACCAGCCTGGGCAACATGGGGAAAACCCCATCTCTACAAAAATACAAAAACTTAGGCTGGCATGGTGGCTCATGCCTGTAATCCCAGCACTTTGGGAGGCCAAGAAGGGCAGATCACCTGAGGTCAGGAGTTCAAAACCAGCCTGGCCAACATGGTGAAACCCCATCTCTACTAAAAATACAAAGAATTAGCTGGGCATGGTGGCGGGCACCTGTAGTCCCAGCTATTCAGGAGGCTGAGGCAGGACAATTGCTTGAACCTGGGAGGCGGAGGTTGCAGTGAGCCGAGATTGTGCCACTGCACTCCAGCCTGGGTGACAGAGCGAGACTGTGTCTAAAAAAAAAAAAAAAAAGAAAAATTAGCCAGATGTGGTGGTATGCACCTATAGTCCCAGCTGCGCGGGAGGCTGAGGTAGGAGGATCACCTGAGCCTGGAAGGTTGAGGATGTAGTGAGGTGACATTGCAACACTGCCCTCCAGCCTGAGTGATACAGTGAGACCCTGTCTCAAAAACAAACAAAAACATATTTGTCATTTAAGTCACCTAGTCTCTGGTATTCTGTCACAGCAGCTAGAGCGAACTAAGTTGGCTATCCTGAGTACTAAGGACCTGGCCTTGCTCCCAGCTTTTCTGGTACTGCCTAAGCCCCTGGTATTTTGTAATGTGTTGGAGGGAGGAGACAGCCCCACTAATGACTAGGGTTGAATTTCCTCCCAGTCTTCTGGGTAGGACACAGAGCAGATTACATTTGATTGAGTAAAAGTAAGGAATGTGACATTTCATGCACATTTTATAGCCCCAAATGACAAAAATAACATGCTTCTCAAGCCACCTGGAACATTTTATAGCTTTCTGTTTTTTTTGCATTGTAGGCTCCTGTGTCCATCAATTTATCAGCATTTTTCTTGGCAAGGATTCCCTGAAATGTCTCCAAGTTTGGAAATTTTGTCTTTATGAAAAGTGGGGCATGGGACCAGAGGAGGGACTTGGTCAGAAAAACAAAATACGATTATTTTTGATCCATGTCCTTATTTCTTGGTTACTAAATAGCTGCCCTCTGTATTTCTTTGATTTTAATAAATCGTCCAGATATGGATTTTTAAAATTCTATGTATGTTTTTTGAGACAGGGTTTTGCTCTGTCACCCACGCTGAAGTGCAGTGGCTCACTGAAGCCTTCAACTCTTGGGCTCAAGCAATCCTCCCACCTCAGCCTCATGAGTAGCTGGGACTACAGCCATGTGGCACCATGCCTGGCTAATTTTTAAAATTTTTTTAGTAGAGACAAAGTCTTGCTATGTTGCCAGGCTGGTCTTGAACTCCTGAACTCGTCATCCTCCCACCTTGGCCTCCTAAAGTGCTGGGATTACAAGTGTGATCCACCACACCCAGGCCTAGTTTTTAAAATGATATTTCATTTATGTAGTTCAAATAAAAATGACATCAATAAGTACATGAGAAATATCACTCCTACCCCACACTTACCCTCTCTTTTTCCCCTCACATTGCTCGTCAGTAACCATTTTTACCAGAATAGTGCCTTATTTATTCTCCCAACGTTTCTTTATGCAAACATAAATAACATACTTTTATTTCCTCTTTTATTACACAAAAAAAGCATGTTATATACATCTTGCTCCTTCCTTTTAAAATCGTAACTAAATATACTGGGTATCCTTCCCTATCACCACGTAAAGCTGTTCCTCCTGCCTTTTTCATTTTGACAGCTCTATAGTATTCCATTGGTGGATCGACCAGAGCTGTGTGTTCGCCAGTCTCCTATTGCTGGGTTGTTGGGCTGTTTCTGATCCGTTGTTATTATAAATAATGCCACAATGAATAACCTTATACCTAAGCAAGTTTACCTTTGTGTAGGTGAATCTATAAGATAGATTCCCAGAAGGGGGATCTCTGGGTCAAAGGGTTTGTGCATGTATAGTTCTGGTAGATATTGCAGGTCTGCTCCACAGAACTGTGCCATCTGCACTGCTGCCAGCAATGCATGGGACAGTCTGTTTCCTCTCAGCCTCCTTCACACACTGTGATATCATATTCTGGACTCTTGCCAACCAAGGAAAGATTTATGTATAAGTTCAACATGGATGCACTTAGGCTAATTCTCCTTCCTGCATTTCCTTCAGAACATCCTCAGTCTCCTCACTCATTTCAGATACCTTAATTAGCTTCCATTTTTCATGACACAGGTTAGCCATGTTTATATTTCCTTCGTGATCATCACAGTTATGAAAGATTTCTTCTTGGGTTGATAGGTTAAGTAACCATGGTCCAGTATTGGTTATTGCAATCAAACCAACAGCTACAGGTGGCTTGGATTGTTTTAGATGGAATTGGTCTCAAATTTAAAAGGTCACTTTGTCATTCTTTGTATCATTGTTATTCATGTCTGTATCTTTTACAAATATATTTATTTAATATTTAATAAGACAAATAAAATGTTAAAAATTATTTTGTCCTGGGAAAGCCCAAGCCTTCCTGCACAGAAGTTGAAATATTCAAAGGACAAGAAAAGGCCTCTGGTACGGTCCTGTCTTGGACAGTTTCCCCGGCC
>NT_167249.2:2303720-2411949 GCF_000001405.40 Homo sapiens
GGCCATTATAGAGAATTATGCTAGTAATCCGGAAGAGCAAGCGCGAAAAATAACTCAAACAGACACAATTATACAGGAATAAAAATCACCCGGCAAATATAATACATTTGGAGGATAGATCCAGGAAGACTAACGTGCAAGTAATAAGGCTCAAAACAGAGAAAAAGAGACGAAATGGAAGAGAAGAATTAGAAGGGAAAAAAGAAGAGCTGGAATAGAGAAAAAAGATTTGAGTCTGTCTATGAAAAGCTTCACCAAGTACAACTCTGTAAATATACTAAAAAACACTGGTTTATTTATTTATTTATTTTAGACGGAGTCTTGCTCTGTCGCCCAGGCTGGAGTGCAGTGGCGTGATCTCAGCTCACTGCAACCTCCACCTTCCAGGTTCAAGTGATTCTCCTGCTTCAGCCTCCCGAGTAGCTGGGATTACAGGTGCGTGCCACCACACCCAGCTAATTTGTGTGTGTGTGTGTATTTTTAGTAGAGATGGGGTTTCACAATGTTGGCCAGGCTGGTCTCGAACTCCTGACCTCAGGTGATCCACCCACCTTGGACTCCCAAAGTGCTGGGATTACAGGCATGAGCCACTGCACCCGGCCTAAAACCACTGGTTTATATACTTTATTTTATTCTTATTATTTTTTTAAATTTGAGATGGAATCTCACTCTGTCACCGAGGCTGGAGTGCAGTGGCGCAATCTCGGCTCACTGCAACCTCTGCTTCCTAGGTTTAAGAGATTCTCCTCCCTCAGCCTCCCAAGTAGCTGGGATTATAGGCGAGTGCCACCATGCCTGGCTAATTTTTGTATTTTTAGTAGAGATGGGGTTTCACCACTGTTGACCAGGCTAGTCTTGAACTCCTAACCTCAGGTGATCCACCCATCTCAGCCTCCCAAAGTGCTGGGATTAGAGGCATGACCCACCTTGCCCAGCCAGGTTTATATACTTTAAACAGGTGAACTATATGGTATGTAAATTATAGCTCAATACAGCTCTTAAATTTTTACCAGGCACATTATGTAAATAAAAATTTTTATTTCCTGGCCGGACATGGTGGCTCACACCTGTGATCCCAGCATTCTGGGAGGCTGAGGCAGGCAGATCACTTGAGGCCAGGAGTTTGAGACCAGCCTGGCCAACATGGCAAAACCCTGTCTCTACTAAAAATACAAAAATTAGCCATGCGCGGTGGTGCGCGCCTGTAGTCCCAGCTACTTGGAAGGCTGAGGCAGGAGAATCACTTGAACCTGGGAGGTGGACGTTGCAGTGAGCTGAGATCATGTCACTGCACTCTAGCCTGGGTGACAGAGTGAGACTCTGTCTCAAATTTAAAAAAATTATTTCCAAAAATAAACAACAAATGACTCAAATGAATGGGCATTTTGAGCTAGAGGAAGGAGAAAAGGGGGGAGTCCCTGGTGAGCAATTTACCTTGTGATTGATTCACATAGTTGTGCTGTGAGTATCTCATTACTCCCAGCAACTGGGGTGTGCAGGTAGAGTTTGGAAGCATCATTACCCAGCTTTCGTCATGGAATACACCTACTCCTGTAATGTGACAAAGCCCCAGCCCACCAAGCATGCGTGACCCAAGCAAAAGTCCAGGAAGTGGACAGGGTTAAAGGGCTGCCCATCTAGACCTGTGCCTTTGCACTGTGGATTTAGCACAATGATCTTCACGTGGCATCTGTGCCCCCACATCTTGGGCGTACATAAAGACTTCCTGAAGAGTATTATGCAGGCGTGGGTTGTTTGATGGGAACCATTTTCCAGATCTTCAACTTCCGTATGTGCTTGTGGCCTAGAACTGATCTGTCTGAGGGCACCTCTGTGGTCAGGGCTACACTTTTCTGACTCTTCTTTGATGAACATCCAACATTTCCTCTGTAGCTCCCATATTATTATTACCACATTTCCGCAGGGTGTAGAACATTTCAGGGTGTCAAATAAAGCCTTTTAGTGAAGGGATACCTCAAAAACCACCTCTAATTTAGGGATCATATACCCAGAGTAGGACTTCCTGTTTTCTCCTGCCTCATATAAATTCCTGTGAAGGGCTACGTGGAGTGTAAGGAACTGGTAATTTTGGCATGTGTTAAGGTGTTATTTACGCAGATACACTGTAGAATGAAGTAACAGGAGTAATAAAAACTTCTTTTTTTCCTTTCTTTTTTTTTTAACAATCTCTTCTCTTCCATCCACTCTTTAAAAATGCATCCCTCTTGAGGGAGTATCTCATGAGATTGGAGCAAGAGCAGAATCAGCAGAAAGAATAGAGGAGGCAGTGGCTTATTTAACCAAGGAGAAAAATCCCATGGCAGCCAACCCACCTTATCTGTCTGTCTGCCTATTTTAGAATATTCAAGATTTGTCAACAACTTGCTGGGACAAAGCAATGTGCTATGAAGCACACTTCCCTGAATTGTACACCATTTTCTGTAAGGGGAAAGAGCTACCTGTTCACTAGTTTCTTGGTTTAGGTAACAATTGTGTATTTGGCATGATTTCAAGGAGAAAGATGTTGTAAGCTCCAACTGATTAATGTTACACCTTAAGATAAAAGACACTTAGAGAGGCCATACGGCATGTCAGCTAAGAGCACAGATTGTGGAGCTCGAATTTCTGGTTTCAAATCCAATTTCATTGTGACTTTCCACAAATTCCTTAATTCTTCTGGGTCTCAGTTTCCATATTTGTAAACATGAGAGTGAAAATAGTACCCACTTCATGGGGTTATTGTGAAGCCTTAGAATAGTCCTGCATTTCGTAAGCGCTCTGTAAGTTGTGTTATTTTTAAAATGTTAGGTAAGTGGGCCAAGCGAGGTGGCTCATGCCTGTAATTTCAGCACTTTGGGAGGCGGAGGCGGGTGGATCACCTGAGGTCAGGCTTTTGAGACTAGCCTGACCAACATGGTGAAACCCCATCTCTACTAAAAATACAAAAACTAGCTGGCGTGGTGGCAGGCACCTGTAGTCCCAGCTACGTGGGAAGCTGAGGCAAGAGAATAGCTTGAACCTGGGAAGTGGAGGTTGCAGTGAGCCGAGATTGCACCACTGCACTCCAGCCTGGTCGACAGAGCGAGACTCCGTCTCAAAAAAATGAAAAATAAAAAATGTTAGGTAAGTTAATGATTCATATTTTCTTGAAAATATGGAAAGACGTATCATAAGAGAAGCATTTTTGCTTAATTCACCAAAAAGTTACTGGGGGCTATAAATTGAACACAGAGTCTTACAAGGCACAGGAAATTTTTTAGACGTTTATAAACATATCTTTTGATGCAGAGGAGTATGACAGGGTGATCAATAAAAGCTTTTCAAGCAAAAAATTATTACAGACCATATGACATCCCAGAAAAGACAAAACTATAAAGGCAGTCAAGAGTCAATGGTTGCCAGGGGTTACGAGGGTGGGGTGATGAATAGGTGGAGCACAGAGGATTCTTAGGGCGTGAAACTACTGTATATGATACTACAATGGTGGATGCCTGTCATTGTACATTTGTCAAAACCCATAGAATATACAAGAGTAAACCCTGACGTCAACGAGGTGGGGAGGTTGTGCTTGCGTAGGGGCAGGGAGTCTATGGGACCTCTGTACTTACCACTTAATTTTGCTGTGAACCCAAAACTGCTCTAAGAGATAAGGTTTATTAATTAGACATACTGTGATATATGTATAGCAGTAGAATATTTATGTTACTGGTATTTAATATGATATATGGAGAGAGACCAGTAGAATAATATGGGGAAAGTAAAATGGAACTATAAGTTCGTAGAGCAGGAGGAACCATTTAAAAACCTAGACTATTGAGGAAGAGCTTGCTTATATGTTATTCAAAAGGATAATGGAAGCTAGGTGCAGTGGCTCACGTCTGTAATCCCAGCACTTGGGGAGGCTGAGGCGGGAGGATTGCTTGAGCCCAAGAGTTCAACACCAGCCTGAGCAATATAGTGAGACCCCCCACATCTCTTAAAGTAAAATAAAATTTAAAAAAAGGATAATGATGAGTATTGAGATGCTGCTAGTGTTTAGAGTCTACTGGAAACATTTTAAAGAGTAGTAAAAACTTTTATTATTTCAATGTCTACATTTACAATATGGTAGAAATTACATTCTTTGCAATAATTAAATGTATGATAAAAAATTTAGATTAAACATAGACAGAGGAGGGAAAACAGCTTTTCAAAATTGTTTTTGAACGTATACACAACAGAAAATTTGAAGATGGGCACTCAAGCACATAGGACATTTCTACACAAATGGTGGCTCCAGATAGCTGAAGAAGCTTAAGCAGCTGTAGGAGAGATCTCCAAATCCAGGGACAGTGGCTGCCATCAGAGTGGTCCGTTTGTGGGAAAATGGGTCACAGACATAGACCATATCAGGCTATATTTCACAGAAAATCTTCTTCTTTTTGTTACTTTCTGATGAACTATATGCTATATGGAAGGTACCATTGAGACTCCTTGTGATGAAAATAACTCTACTTGAATTGGGGGTAAACTAAAATTAGAAGGGAAAGCAGACCCCTTGTCCAGCCAGGTTGAAGAAAATCTAAGCCGGTACAGGGTGAGGTTGAGAGAGATGGCAGCGAGAATCTGGAACACAGGCCTTTCCTAAATCAAACTTTCAGCACAGGTCATTCAAGGGCGAATTTCAAATCTATGCTATGTTTATAAATTGTGTACTCTACGTAATTGCCGGGTCCCTGGAATTCCCTACTCTGTGCGAAACTAATCTCTTACTCTCTAAAACAAACCCAAGTCCTAAGCCCACAACCCCTGTTTGCTCTTTCCTTCCTAGTCATCAGAACCCTCATGACTCAGACTCTCCAAGGAGGCATTTAAAAAAATGTTCTCGGACCAGTCAGCTCCACTCGAGCAACCTGCTCTTAACTCATTAATTTTCCCGACATGTCCCTTATGATGACTCGTCCATCTGTTTTTCAAATTCCACATAGCTGGGCCTCTGTAGCTTTGTGGTTTTATATTCCGCATACTTTCTAACAGTGACAGCTCCAGAATTTCTATGTCAGATGAAGTTGGGAACAGGCAGTCTGGTTGGAGGAAGATATTCAGGGGCCAGACTCAAAGTCCTGTTTGGACATGACAACCTCCTTTTATAATGGCGAAGAGCACAGGCTCTGCATCTGGACTGATAGTTTAATTCCTGACTCCATCACTTACTAACTTTGTGAGTTTGGCCAAATTACTTGACTTCTCCATGGTTTAGTTTCCTTATTTGTAAAATGAAGACAATGGTAGTACTGTGTCTCAGAGTCGTTGGATGCCAATGCAGGATCCCAGTGACCAGATGGAACGAGAGGGAGCTCAGGAGAGACCAGCTTGAAGGGCCGAAGTCTTGTTCCCACATTGCCAGTAGGAGGCATAAATTCCCCCTCAGAGGACGTGCAGGAAAGAAGTGAAGGGGAGAGCCCTTGAAATGGGGGGAAAACAGTCCTGAGAGGGGCATTAAATTTCATATGGCCAAGTATTTACCCAAAAGAGACCTGAAACATTGTTTTCTTTTTCTTTCTTTTTTTTTTTTTTGAGACGGAGTCTCACTCTGTCACCCGGGCTGGAGTGCAGTGGTGCGATCTTGGCTCACTACAACCTCTGCCTCCCGGGTTCAAGCAATTCTCCTGCCTCAGCCTCCCAAGTAGCTGGGATTACAGGCACCCGCCACTACGCCCAGCTAATTTATTTTTATTTTTATTTTTATTAGAGATGGGGTTTCACCATGTTGATCAGGCTGGTCTCAAACTCCTAACCCGCCCACCTTGGCTTCCCAAAGTGTTGGGATTACAGGCGTGAGCCACCAAAATTTTTTTCTTTCTTATTGTTTTTAATTCTCCCCCCAAGCTTACTGAGGTAAAATAGACAAAAATTATATGTTTTCAGCGTGTACAATGTGTTGATTTGATGAGTATACATTGTGAAATAATTACCACTATCAAACTAATGAACACATCACCAACACATATTTACCATTTCTTTTCTGTGTGTGTTAGCAAATTTCAGATAGACAATACAATATTGTTAATTATAGTCTCCATGTGATTAAAGTTCCAGAACTCATTCTTCTTATAACTGAAAGTTTGTACCCTTGACTGTTGTTTTTAATCTTTAAATTGAGGCTTAAAATATATGCAGTAAAATGTGCAGAGTGGACACATAAGTGCTCAAGTCGTTGAATTTTATTTAATTCTTTAATGTATTTATTTTAAAGAAATAGAGACAGGGTCTTGCTATGTTGCCTAGACTGCTCTTGAACTCCTGGGCTCACACAATCCTCCCACCTCAGCCTCTCAAGGTGTTGGGATTACAGGCATGAGCCACCGCACCCGGCCAATTGTTGAATCTTAACACATGCATACACTCACCTACCCACTTTCCAGATCAAGATGTGCCACATTCTTATCACCCCAGAAGCCTCCCCTGCCTCCTCCCCATCAGTGCCACCCTAGAGGTAGCCAGTATTTTGACTTTAATCATCATCAGTTGATTTTTCCATGTACTTGACTTTCATATAATTAGAACCATACAGTATGCCTTCCAAAAGAGACACTTTTAAAAGAAAATGAAATTTCATCACCAATATTTGGCAAGCTTATACCCGTATCCTCATTTCCAACCCCAGGCTTCCCTGCCATTGGTGGGAAAGAGAGTCTGGAAACTGAGTTGGGTGAGTTATAGCAAGCCAAACTACATTTTTCCTTGCATATCTGAATTACACGGGGTAAATTTCAATCAACTGCTAGTTGTGAGCCTAGAAATAGGGACGCAGGTGAGTCAGGGTCCCTGACCTATGCTTAAGAGCCATTGCCAAAGATTGACTCAGGGAAATGGGTAGTTCCGTGCCCCATCCTCTTCCCTACTCACTTCCGCTTGATACTAGAAGTGAGACTCACTCAGTGTCCACTTTCCCCACCCTTGGAGAGCTCACAGGGAGTGGAGTGTATCACTCACGTAGCCATGTGCTGCTCTGCAGCTGGGAAGGAGCACTCTGGAGAAAGCCGGGCGTGTGTCCTGATGCTCTTATCACCCTCCAAATCCCCAGCTTCCCCTAGATAGACTGCTATTGACCTTTACCATCCATTTGTTTCCTTTTCTTCTCTTCTTCCTTCTTTCTTCTACAAAGGCCTCCTGCTTTGAAAATGAGGCATACCCAGGGAAAACAGGTTTCAGGTCAGCTCTGGTTCAAAGGGTGGGTCCCTTCCACTCCGACAAATTTGATCCCCTCATTCTGCCTCCCTCCCTGCCCCTCCTCATGTGTGCGCCCTCTGGTCTTGCCGACTCTGCTCTCTCCTCCGCCTTGATTCCTGTAGGGTACATCTCTCCAAACGGCCCTGCAGAAAGCACAGCGCAGAAATGCCCCTCCCTGGGGAGGGAGGACCCAAAGTTCTGGCCTCCCCTACTCAGTATCAGCTATAAATGCCACAGACACGTTTGCGAGGAAAAAAGAAGAAAAATAAGAAGCCAAACTGTGGAGCAATTTGGGGGCTCCCCCCAACCATGCCATCTGCCTACAAGGCTTACCCTGGCACTGGCTGGCCTTTGGGTCTTTTTGTGCAACTTTATTTTCTATCAAGGCCCAGGGGGTTTGCCCCTTGTCTCTCTGCCTCTTTGACCTATCCTTCCTTTGGAACCCAGGCATCTAAATGACAACTTCTATGTGCATCATTTAGAGATGAGAAGAGGAAATATCTCTCCTGCTTTCTGGTTCCTGTGGCTGCTTCTCTTTGGACTTCTGGGACCCAGTAAGTGACTTAGCAGTTAAGGAGGGAGAGGGGCATGGAGGCCACATAAGCCCTGAAGGAGATGGGGAATCCCCTGCCCAGGCATGACTCTTCTTCCAGAAACAATGATGATTCATTTTTTTTTTTTTTTTGCCCATTTCTGCAAAAGCCAGTACTGATCCCAATTCCACTGACCATGATTCTGATGCTATCTTAGAAGCAAATCTGTATTAGTCTCCCCCAGCTGTGGTTGTGAGCACATGTGGTGGGGCGGTGGGGCGGTGCTGGGGAAATGGAGTGGGGTGAGATTTTACTTTCCTTTGTATCTTGGATAAAAGTTTTTTTTTTAACCGGAAAACTCTAGTTCCAATAGCATTCTTAATTCCAAATTAAAACCAGGATCTCAGTCTAAAGTCAAGTAAAAATCCTTCAATCCTTCTTTGTTTTTTTTCCATAGGTTATTTGGGTACAGGTGATATTTGGTTATGTAAGTGCTTTATTGGTGAATTGTGAGACTTTGGTGCACCCGTCACCAAGCAGTGTACACTGCACCCACCCTATCTGTAGTCTTTTATCTCTCGTGCCTCCCCCGTCCTTCCTCCCTAGTGCCCAAAGTCCATTGTATCATTCTCATGCGTTTGAGTCCTCACAGCTTAGCTCCCACCTCTCAGTGAGAACATACGATGTTTGGTTTTCCATTCCTGAGTAACTTCACTTAGAATAATAGTCTACAGTCTCATCCAGGTCACTGCAAATGCCATTAATTCATTCCTTTTTATGGCTGAGTAGTATTCCATCGTATATATATGCCAGTTTCTTTATCCACCGTTGATTGATGGGCATTTGGGTTCCATGACTTTGCAATTGTGAATTGTGCTGCTATAAACATGTGTGTGCAAGTGTCTTTTTTGTATAATGACTTCTTTTCCTCTGGGTAGATACCCAGTAGTGGGATTACTGGATCAAATGGTAGATCTACTTTTAGTTCTTTAAGAAATCTCCACACTGTTTTCCATAGTGACTGTACTAGTTTACATTCCCACTAGCAGTGTAGAAGTGTTCCCTGATCACTGCATCTACGCCAACATCTACTGTTTTTTGATTTTTTGCTTCAACCCTTCTTCGGATGCTGCCTGATTCCAAATCCATGTATAATCCCCTGAGAACTTCCCTGGTAGAAACAAACCGGAGTTCGGCCACTGAGGGGTTGGCTCTGACATTGGATCAGCAATGGCTGTGAAAGGAAACAGCCCAGGGGAGAAGTGAATTGGGCTCCGTGTGACTCCAATGGGCTGTCTGAGATAGTACTGTTCACTCCAGTCTTTGATTTCTTACATCAACATATCTTCCCTAATTATGAGACACCAGGTTAATTGGCTCATCCATTCCATTGCCTTTACTGTAGGATGGCTCGTCAAGAAGTGGGAGGTGCGGTTGAAAGAGAAGGTATAGGTTGGATGATGTGGAGGATTTGGAGTGCTTCCCCCTTCTTCCTCAGTATGCATCTGTTTCCTGCACCCCACTCTGGATTCGCTCCCTCGCCCGCTTCAGCACTTCCCTCGGCGTTCTTTTTCTTCTCTTTCCCCTTGCCTTCACCCTGAATGCTTCAACTGTTCTCTACCTACCCATGCCTTCCAGATCTGCCCGTCGCCTGTCCTAATCCTGAACTCCAGTCCTATCTGTCTGATTTTAAACAAGAGTCCCCTTACCTCAGAAGAAACTGTCATTCATGTAGTCATTCAACAAACATTTATAGAGCTCCTCCTCTGGGCCAGGCACTGCTGCGTGCTAGGCCATGGTGAGGAATGGAGTGGGAAATGCCATGGTCTTGACCCCCATGGAACACTTGGTCTACTGTAAAACATAGACTTAAATAATATTTCCTAACAAAAGGGAGCAAGTGTGCAAGGGCTGAAAGGCCCCTCCTCTTTTCCTACCACTAGATCTATAAAGTAACCAACAGTGTCTCCTGTAGCCCCATTACAGTGGATTAGCAAGGACCAACTCCTCCATCTGAATGCTGGGCGCCGTCTCACCCTCCTGCCGTCTCAGGGGCTTTGCTCAGTACATTTCTCCTTCCCCTCCCATCTCACTTTACCTTTCTTGGGTCCTTTCCATCAGCATCCAAACAAGCTCAGTTCTGTATGCACAAGTATCATCCAAGGAGACGATTAAAAACTTGGGTTTCCAGGCCCTGACACCCCACCAAGTAAGATCTTGATTCAGTAAGCTTGGTGGGATGGCGTGGGTTCTTCAGACAGTGTGATCCCAGAGGTCCCTGGACCAAACACTGAATGATGTCCATCCTAACGTCCCCGCATCACTCCTCAGCCACCACCTCTCCCTCCACTCTCCTCCTCACCCCCATTCTTTTTTTTTTTTTTTGGAGATGGAGTGTGGCTCTGTCGCCCAGGCTAGAGTGCAGTGCTGCAATCTCGGCTCACTGCAACCTCTGCCTCCCAGGTTCAAGCGATTCTCCTGCCTCAGCCTCCTGAGTAGCTGGGACTACAGGCGCACACCGCCACGCCCAGCTAATTTTTTGTATTTTAGTAGAGACGGGGTTTCATTGTGTTGCCCAGGCTGGACTCGAACTCCTGAGCTCAGACAATCTACCCACCTTGGCCTCCCAAAGTGCTGGGATTACGGGTGTGAGCTACCGGGCCCGGCCCCTCACCCCCATTCTTGAAGGACTTCCCCACACTTGCTATGTCACTTCTCACCTCCCACTCACTTGTTTATTTTATTTTATTGTATTAGGTAATGGATGTAAGCAGTTCTGAAAAAGAAATACTTGTAGTCCTACAAGGCTTCTCATAAAACTTCAGCCCCTGATTCCCTTGCCCCAATTGCTTCTTATTCTGAGTCCTGCTTCCCAGGGTTCCTGTTGGCATTTACGTTCATACTGCATTTATCTATTTATTTAGAGACAAGATCTCACTCTGTCACCCAGGCAGGAATGCAGAGACACCATCATAGCTCACTGCAGCCTGGTACTCCCGGGCTCAAGGGATCCTCTCACCTCAGCTTTCCAAAGCACTGGGATTACAGGCGTGAGCCATTGCACCCGGCCATAAATTCTCTTACTACCATTACTTCTTTGTTGGTTGAGGTTTTTTGGGATTTTTTTCCTGCTTTGGGCATGATTTATTGTCTTCCTTCTAATGAAAAGAAAGATTTAGGTTAGACCACTCCCCCTACACACTTACTGTCTCACATTCCCGCTCACAATTCTCCCCAAATGACTGTATCAAATTTTTGGTGTTAAACTAGCATTTAGTGTTTACATTATGATAACTATAAATTTTACCTCTAGTAACATTTATAACTGGGTCATATAATTGCATTGTGATGACATTATAATAAGTATAAATGACCTCTAGTAACATTTATAACTGGGTCATATAATTGCATTGTGATGACCATCCGTTCTTGTAATTTTTGTTTTTCTAGATATTAATAATAGCCTCATTTTTAAAATGTCCATAGTTTTCTTCATATATGTAATTAATTCATCCCAAAACCTCCACCAGAAGTATCCCTGTCTTTTCCAAACACATGAGGCAATCTATCAGTTTCACTTTTTTCCCTTGAGCAATCCCATTTGGAAGCCTCTGTCCAACCAGAACAATCCCATTTAGAAGCCTCTGTCCAACCAGTACTGGTTGCTTGCTAGGTCTCTTGTCCTGCAATCTGTATTCAGCAACATTCTGGAAATTCCCTTTTTTCCCTTGTAAATTCTTATCTTTTTTCTGGCTTTATTTTTCCATCTTGGAGCATCACTTTCTCTAGAAGCTTCCTGAGAGAGAGAGTTTATGGTGGGAAATTATTTTAAAACCTTATGCACTGTTAGGGTAATGCTAAGCTGCTGTAACAAGGAGATCCCGAAAGTGGCTTTGAAAAACAAGTTTATTTTTCTCCCTTGTACCAGTCCTAAGGTAAGTATTATAGGATGGTGGGAGCTCTGCTCCATGCAGTCATTCAGGGATCCTGGGTGAATATGGTTCTTCCGTCTTCAACGTATGGTTTCCAGTGTCATCATCATTTCAGCCCAAGGAGAGGGAAGAAAAACAGTATTTTGTATTATTTTATGATACAGTCAGTCAAAGTGCAGCCACAAGAGGAGAGGCTTACAGGCCCTAGAGACAGGAGGCATGGCACTGCCATGCGGGACCACCTGAGAAAGACATCAAGGTAGTCAGGAGGCAGAAGACAAGTGAAGGAAAGATTTATGTCTTTCCTTTTATTGGGTTTCTGTGGGAAAGGCAAGGAAAGGCAGGGTGAACAGTTTAGGATTGGCTGGTTTGAATAATTCCTGTGTTCGTTGAGCTATATGGCTGATTACCACCTAGTTGCCTAGTACTTGACTTTGGAATGACTAAGGCAGATAAATATTGTTTCCTGGAGTATATGGGCCAGATAGAGGAGCTATGGCTCTGGAATGGTTAGTCTGCATATCAGCTCATGCTCCTGGCTGGGCCCTTTGCTACTTTTAAGAATTGGCTAGCCCTGGAAGGTCCTGTCTCTCCCTAGCTAGAAAAGTTTGTTAAGATGTCAAAACATGATAATATACAGAAATTAAAAATATATATACAAGCAGAAATCAAGGAATAGGTATTTACTCTTAAAGAAATGAAGTGGAAATTAATATGTATTCCTTCCCTTCAGGGGCCTCTGACTAGGGCTTAGACATGTAGCCCTACCTAGCTACAAGAGAGGTTGACAAATGTAACTTAGCCATGTGCCCAGGAAGAAGAGAAAAATGGGCCCAGCTGTCCATAGACCTTATACGTCTGAAAATGTCTTATTCCACTCTCACATTTGACTCATAGTTTAGCTGGTTATAGAATTCTAGGATGGATATGATTTTTCTCAGGATTTTAAAGGCGTTGATCCACTATTCCTAGATTCTAGATTGTGAAGTCTGATATTTAGATTACTGACCTCTTGTAAAAGACCCATTCTTTTTATTCTGGAGGATTTCAGATTTTTAAAACTACTGTTCTAAAATCTCATGATATGGTGTCATAGTATGGATTCTTTCATCGTGTTAGGAATTTGCACAGTAGAAAGTTGTATCAGTCAGTTCTGGGAAATTTTATTGCATTTTTTTCTTTGATAATTGCCTCTCGTCCATTTTCTCTGTTCTGTCTTTCTGAAAAAATCTTATAATTTGGATGTTTGACCTCCTGGGCTGACACTCTAATTTTCTTATATTTCTTCTTCTGTCTTCCAACTCTGTCGTTTTATTTTTCTTCTGGGGAGATTTCCTCAGCTTCTAAAGTCTTCAAATCCTTCTAGTGAATTTTGAGGTTTTTTTTTTTCAAAGAGATCTTTTTTTTCTCTACAACCATTTTTAAGATGGCATCTCTTACTTTTTTTTTTTTTTTGTGGGTGCTATACTTTCTCTTATATTGCTGAGGACATTTGAAGTTGGTTTTGCTGTTTGCATTGTCTCAGTTCTCTCTGGCTTTGCTTCATAGGGATATTTGTTTTGGTCTCTATATTTCAAGCTAGAGATTTTTCTCAAATATCTGGTAATCCCAGAATGTCCTTTGCATTTGAGTGAGGCACTAATATGATGCCTGGAAGCTCTGTGAGCAGGGGTAGGGCCTGTCAACTGGTGGACTTAGCTTTAGGGTAATTTAGCAGAGACGTGGCAGTTTAGATTGGGAAGATCCTCAAAATGTCAGTATCTAGTGTTGGCTAATTTCTTTCCACAAGAAGAATTCTCCAGATCCTGTCTAGAGCATACTAGCATAGCTGCTGAAGTGCTGGAAGCTGAGCAAGGGAATAGGTAATGTGGGTTTTACATTTCAGGGTGTAAGCATTTCCTTAATTGCATAGTTTCAGTAAAACCTTTTGAGAGGTGACAGGGTGCTGGCAGCCCTCGCTCAGTCTCGGAGCCTCCTCGGCCTCGCCACCCATTCTGGCTGCGCTTGAGGGGCCCTTCAGCCCCCCGCTGCACTGTGGGAGACCCTCTCTGGGCTGGCCGAGGCCGGAGCCAGCTCTCTCAGCTTTCAGGGAGGTGTGGAGGGAGAGGCACGGGCGGGAACCCGGGCTGCCTGCAGCACTTGCGGGCCAGCACTAGTTCCAGGTGGGCGTGGCCTCGGGGGGCCCCACACTCTGAGCCTCGGGCTGGCGTGGCCAGCACAGCTGGCCCCAGGCAGTGAGGAACTTAGCACCCGGGCCAGCAGCTGCGGAGGGTGCGCCAGGTTCCCCAGCAGTGCCAGCGGGTGCTGCGCTCCAATTCTCGCCGGACCTCAGCTGCCTCCCTGAGGGGCACGGCTTGGGACCTGCAGCCCGCCATGCCTGAGCCTCCCCCACGCCGCCATGGGCTCCTGTGCAGCCAGAACCTCCCAGACGAGCGCTGCCCCTTGCTTTGCGGCACCCGGTCCCATAGACTGCCCAAGGGCTGAGGAGTACTGGCGCACGGCGTGGGACTGACGGGCAGCTCCATCTGCGGCCCAGGTGCGGGATCCACTAGGTGAGGCCAGCTGGGCTCCTGAGTGTAGTGGGGACTTGGAGAACCTTTATGTCTAGCTAAGGGATTGTAAATACACCAATCAGCACTCTGTGTCTAGCTCAAGGTTTGCAAATGCACCAATCAGCACCCTGTGTCTAGCTAATCTGGTGGGGACTCAGAGAATCTTTATGTCTAGCTAAGGGATTGTAAATACACCAATCAGCACTCTGTGTCTAGCTCAAGGTTTGTAAACACACCAGTAAGCACCCTGTGTCTAGCTAATCTGGTGGGGACTTGGAGAATCTTTATGTCTAGCTAAGGGATTGTAAATACACCAATCAGCACCCTGTGTCTCGCTCAAGGTTTGTAAACATACCAATCAGCACCCTGTGTATAGCTCAAGGTTTGTAAATGCACCAATCAGTGCTCTGTGGGGACTTGGAGAACTTTTGTGTCTAGCTCAGGGATTGTAAACACACCAATCAGCACCTTGTCAAAACAGACCAATCAGCTCTCTGTAAAACCAATCGGCGCTCCGTAAAATGGACCAATCAGTAGGATGTGGGTGCCACCAGATAAGGGAATAAAAGCAGGCTGCCCTGAGCCAGCAGTGGCAATCCGCTTGGGTACTCTTCTATAGTGTGGAAACTTTGTTCTTTCACTCTTTGTGATAAATATTGCTGCTGCTCACTCTTTGAGTCCACACTGCGTTTATGAGTTGTAACACTCACTGCGAAAATCTGCAGTTTCACTCCTGAGGCCAGTGAGATCACGAACCCACCAGAAGAAACGCCGAACACATCTGAACATCAGAAGGAACAAACTCAGGACACACCACTTGTAAGAACTGTGACACTCACGGCGAGTGTCCACGGCTTCATTGTTGAAGTCAGACCAAGAACCCACCAATTCTGGATACACTTTCACTCCTGCCTTCAGCAGTGCCTGGGATTACTGATCTAGAGTTTCTTTGGTTTCAGTATCTCCAGAGATAAAACCCTAAGCTGTTAAAAGGAAGAGAGGTGTATTCATCCAAGTCCCTGAGTGGAAGGAGTGATCTGGAGCTGAGAGACAGTTCCTAGCTACATTGTATTTCAACTATCCTTCCTGTATTTAGTCACATGCCACACCCAAATCTTTAGAGGAACCCAGTTGCAATTCCCGAATCTTTCCAGGATTCCACAGAATTAATAATCTACCAGTAGTTGACTTACTCTCACCCCCAATGGAGGCCTGTATGTTGAAGCTTTCTCTGTTGTGTTGGAGAGTTACCACTCATCTGCCTATTACCTTCAAAAAAACAAAAATATCTCCTCTGCTGTTATCTCTCCATCGTTTGTCCTTGTGGAGGTATGTGTTTTGTTATTTCTCTACTTTTTATTCTTCTATGAAATCCGTAAGCCTCCATATATACTTATTCTTTTATTCATTCCAATTGGGGTCTACCCCATCATGCAAATCTGTTTTCAATAAACTAAACTCACGTCCATATTGTCTCTGAATCCAATGGACATGGCCCAGGCCATATCTTACTTGATCTCTCTGCAAAAATCAATTCAGCTAACTGCCATATTTTTCTAGAGCCTCTCTATTCTCTTGACTTCCTTGATTCACTTTTTAGAGTTTTCTTTCTGCCTTAGTGGATGCTCCTTCTCAGTCTCATTCATTTGCGTCTCCTCCTCTATCTGAGTGATGCAGTGGCCAGAGCTTGGTCCAGCGCCCTATTCTCCAACATACTCTCCCAGACAAGTGATCTCAGTCAGCTTCATGGCTTTAAATACAATGTATATTTAAATGACTTCCAGTTTCACGTCTTTTGATCTGATTTCTCCTCTAAGAACTAAGTGCAGGTTTCCAACTGCCAACAGTCTCCTGGATATCTAATGGGCACAAAAAGTTCAAAGTCTAATATTTCCAACTTCCACTTCATCCCTATTCATTCAGATAAATAGAACTAATTTCCAACTCTGCGTAAGCCCCAAAGCTAGAAGTTGTTCTTGACTTCTTTTCGTGTCATCCACCACATGCAGCCTTTCAACACTTCCTATTGGTTCTACTTTTCTAATTTCAAAACATAGCTTGTATTCATCCACTGAAATGTATCTCCCCTGCTACCATCCTAGTTCAAGCAATAATTACTGCTCTTAATTTTTTCACTCTTGCCCTCCTACATGCCAGTTTTCACACAGCATCTTTTAAAAACATAAATCAATTTTGTTTTCTACTTTCTCTTCCCTTCCTGAATGATTAAGCCCCAGATCATTAGGTGAGGCAGAGCAAAGCAGATATCAGGGTTGGACAGGAGGGGAGACAGCAGTGGCCCAGAGAAGGATATAAGAAACTGAACTGGGCCGGGTGCGGTGGCTCACGCCTGTAATCCTAGCACTTTGGGAGGCTGAGGTGGGCAGATCACCTGAGGTCAGGAGTTCGAGGGCAGCCTGGCCAACATGGCAAAACTCTGTTTCTACTAGAAATACAAAAATTAGCTGGGTGTGGTAGCGCATGTCTGTATTTCCAGCTACTCAGGAGGCTGAGGCAGGAGAATCCCTTGAACCCGGGAGGTGGAAGTTGCAATGAGCCGAGATAGCACCACTGCACTCCAGCCTGGGTGACAGAGCAAGAAACTAAATTGGATGAAGTGGACTTCTCCACAGAGTGGCAGCCTGGCATGTTTTGTCAGAATCTTGTGAGGGTGAGAGGGAGTATGGGGTGGAGGGAGTATGGGCTGAAAATGAATGAATAGAATACCAGTGATTTTGTGAGACAATGTTTTGTCTACAATATGTGTTATTGAAGTTCCAGAAAAAAAGGGAACCGAAAACATGTTTAAAGAAATAGTAGCTGAAAAAATTAAATTTGATGAAAACTATAAACTCACAGATCCCAAGAACTCAACAAATATCAAGCAAAATAAACTTTAAAAAATCATACCAAAGTACAACGTAATCAAATAACTAAAAATCAGTGATAAAAGGGAAATCCTAGAACGAGCTAGAAAAGACACATTGTATAGAGAGAAGCAAAGACAAGCATAACAGACTTCCTGTGAAAAACCATGACAACCAGAAGATAAAGAAGCAACATCATTAAAATACTGAAAGAAAAAAATACTTTATCAACCTAGAATTACACGGAGTAAGAATATTTTCAATATGAAGATGAAATGAAGGCTTTTCTAGACAAGCAAAAACTGGAAGACCTTGCCTCCTGGAAATTGACTTTTTTTTTTTTTTTTTTTTTGATACGGAGTTTCGCTCTTGTTGCCCCAGGCTGGAGTGTAATGGCACGATCTTGGCTCACTGCAACCTCTGCCTCCCGGTGAGAGGTGACAGCGTGCTGGCAGTCCTCAGAGCCCTCGCTTGCTCTCAGCACCTCCTCTGCCTGGGCTCCCACTTTGGCGGCACTTGAGGAGCCCTTCAGCCCACCGCTGCACTGTGGGAGTCCCTTTCTGGGCTGGCCGAGGCCAGAGCCGGCTCCCTCAGCTTGCAGGGAGGTGTGGAGGGAGAGGTGCGAGCGGGAACCGGGACTGTGCGCGGCGCTTGCGGGCCAGCTGCAGTTCCAGGTAGGCGTGGGCTTGGCGGCCCCGCACTCGAAGCAGCCAGCGGGCCCTGCAGGCCCCGGGCAGTGAGGGGCTTAGCACCCGGGCCAGTGGCTGCGGAGGGTGTACTAGGTCCCCCAGCAGTGCCGGCCCACTGGCGCTGCACTGGATTTCTCACTGGGCCTTAGCTGCCTTCCCATGCGGCAGGGCTGGGGACCTGCAGCCCGCCATGCCTGAGCCTCCCACCCCCTCCATGGGCTTCTGTGCGGCCGGAGCCTCCCCGATGAGCGCCGCCCCCTGCTCCAGGGCGCCCAGTCCCACCGACCGCCCACGGGCTGAGGACTGTGAGCGCATGGCGTAGGACTGGCAGGCAGCTCCACCTGCGGCCCCGGGGCGGGATCCACTGGGTGAAGCCAGCTGGGCTCCTGAGTCTGGTGAGGACGTGGAGAGTCTTTATGTCTAGCTTAGGGATTGTAAATACACCAATCAGCACCCTGTGTGTAGCTCAGGATTTGTGAGTACACCAATGGACACTCTGTATCTAGCTGCTCTGGTAGGGCCTTGGAGAACCTTTATGTCTAGCTCAGGGATTGTAAATACACCAATCGGCACTCTGTATCTAGCTCAAGGTTTGTAAACACACCAATCAGCACCCTGTGTCTAGCTCAGGGTTTGTGAGTGCACCAATCAACACTCTGTATCTAGCTGCTCTCGTGGGGCCTTGGAGAACCTTTATGTCTAGCTCAGGGATTGTAAATACACCAATTGGCACTCTGTATCTAGCTCAAGGTTTGTAAACACACCAATCAGCACCCTGTGTTTAGCTCAAAGTTTGTGAGTGCACCAATCGACACTCTGTATCTAGCTGCTCTGGAGGGGCCTTGGAGGACCTCTGTGTCCATATTCTGTATCTAACTAATCTGATGGGGACGTGGAGAACCTTTGTATGTAGCTCAGGGATTGTAAACGCACCAATCAGCACCCTGTCAAAACAGACCACTCGGCTCTACCAATCAGCAGGATGTGGGTGGGGCCAGATAAGAGAATAAAAGCAGGCTGCCCGAGCCAGCAGTGGCAACCTGCTTGGGTCGTTTTCCACACTGTGGAAACTTTGTTCTTTTGCTCTTTGCAATAGATTTTGCTACTGCTCACTTTTTGGGTCTACACTGTTTTTATGATCTGTAACACTCACCGTAAAGGTCTGCAGCTTCACTTCTGAAGCCAGCGAGCCCACGAGCCCACTGAGAGGAAGGAACAATTCCACACGCATGGCCTTAAGAGTTGCTAACACTCACTGTGAAGGTTTGCAGCTTCACTCATGAGCCAGCGAGAGCACAAACCCACCAGAAGGAAGAAACTCCGAACACATCTGAACATCAGAAGGAGCAAACTCCAGACATGCCACCTTAAGAGCTGTAACACTCACTGTGAGGGTCTGTGGCTTCATTCTTGAAGTCAGTGAGACCAAGAACCCACCAATTCCGGACACACTGGGTTCAAGCGATTCTCCTGCCTCAGCCTCTCGAGTAGCTGGGATTACAGGCATGTAATTAGCCACACCATGCCTGGCTAATTTTGTATTTTTAGTACAGATGGGGGTTCTCAATTTTGGTTAGGCTGGTATCGAACTCCTGGTGATCTGCCTGCCTCTGCTTCCCAAAATGCTGGGATTACAGGCGTGAATCGACAGGCAAGACTGACATTTTTTTTTAAATGTAAAAGTTCTTCAGGAAGAAAAAATTTAGATCTATGCAAAAAAGAATGAAGTGTGCTGGAAATGATAAATATATGGGTAAAAATAAAATTTTTTTCATTTAAATTTAAAAGATAATATACTTGAGTAATAATGAATTATGAGGCTTATATGTAGACATAAAATGTATGACAACAGTGGTACAAGGGATAGAAAAAGGAAATGGAAGTGTACTGTGTTGAGACTCTCATGCCTTTACATGAAGAGGAATGAGCTCACTGGGAGGTAGACAGTGATAAAGGTGTATATCGTAAATCCTAGAGCAAAGGCACACAAATAAGAATGATATTTAATAAGCTAATGGTGGAAATAAAATGGGGTCAAAAATGACTCAGGTCATGGTGCAGCGGTTTATGCCTGTAATCCTAGCCCTTTGGGAGGCTGAGGCAGGTGGATCACTTGAGACCAGGAGTTAGAGACCAGCCTGGGCAACGTGGTGAAACCCTGTCTCTACTAAAAATACAAAAATTAGCTGGGCGTGGTGGCGCATGCCTGTGGTTCCAGCTACTCAGGAGGCTGAGGCAGGAGAATCACTTGAACCTGGGAAGTGGAATTGGCAGTGAGCTGAGATCCCATCACTGCACTCCAGCCTGAGTGACAGGTCAAGACGCTCAAAAAACAAAACAAAACAAAAAACAAAATACTGGGTTAATTAAAAAAAAAAAAAGGCGAAAAATGGAGGAAAAGGTAAGAAGATCAGACGAGAAAAATAGAAAACAAATATGAAGACTATTAAATTCAGGGCCAGCTACAGTGGTTCACACTTGTAATTCCAGCACTTTTTGGGGCTGAGGCAGGAAGATTACTTGAGCCCAGGAGTTCGAGACAAGCCCAGGCAACATAGGGAGACCCCATCTTTACAAGAAATAAAAATTAAAAAGTAATTAGCCAGGCATCATGACTCGTGCCTGTGATCCTAGATAGTTCGGAGGCTGAGGCAGGAGGATTTCTTGAGCTTAGAAAGTCAAGGCTGCAGTCAGCCGTGATTGTGCCACTGCATTATAGCCTGAGTGACAGAGCAAGACTCTGTCTCTAAAAAAGAATCAGACCCAACGTATTTATAATTACATTAAATGTATATGGTCCAGACACCACAATTAAAAGGCAGAGATTGACACATTGGTTAAAAAAGAAAGCCCCAAATAAATAATATTCAACCAAGAAATACATTTTAACTAACTATAACTACAAATAGGGTAAACAATAGGATAAAAATAAGAGGAAGAAAGATACGGCCATACTGTATGTTAGCCATGCTAACATCAATTTAGAAAAAAATTGAGTGACTATTTCAAAATCAGACAAAATAGGCTTAAGAAGAGGTATATTATTAGGGATAAAGAGAGACATTTCATAATTATAATCACAACACAATATTTACTAACCACAAAGGGAGAAAAACCAGCCTGGATACACCTTCTTAATCAAGTAATCCAAGAGAACATCATCAATGATGGGACACATTGATATTATCTGTCACCTGATAGTATGCAAAGAGAAGAATACAGCATCACTTCAGTGGTTTTCCTGGCAAAGATTAATAACATGAGCCTAATCATGATGAAACATTACAAAAACTCAGTTTAAGGAAAATTCTATAAAATAATTGACCTGTAATCTTCAAAGGTTAAAAGTTATGAAGATCAAAGGAAGACTGAAGAACTGCACCAGACTGAAGAAGACTAAAGAGACAGAACAACGAAAAACAACACACGATTCTGAATTGAACTGGTTTACTATTAAAGACATTATTAGAACAACTAACAAAACTTGAAAGGGATCTAAGGATCAGGTGGCAGCAATATATTCATGTGAATTTCTTGATCTTGATGGCTGTATTATGGTTGCGTATGAGAATATATAAAGTATTGAAGGATAATGAGACATCAGGTTACCAAGTAACTCCCAAATGATTCAGGGAAAAGGGTTCTTTGTGTTATACTTGTTACAAAAGAATTTGTGATTTTTTTTTCAAAATAAAAACAAAGAGAAATTAACCAGAGTATGTTATTCCAGTGGGTCTTCATTGTATTTGAGATGAAATTTAACCTTTCTACCATGGTATTTTGCTAAACTCTGAGTATACCCCTGTCAGCAAAAGAAATGTGGGCTTATGTTCTTGTAAAGAAGAGTTTAGAATATAAAGAATGTAAATACACCTTTGGGTTATGTGTTGTTAAAAAGGCAGGGGTCCTGCTTCAGAGATTATGGTTAGAAAAGGTCTCTCTACCGCCTCGTTTTCTCCTTCAGTAACTACATTCCAGCCACCCTGGTCTCCTATTTATTCATGAATCACATCGAGCTCATTAACAACTCAGGGTATTTGTACTTATGCTATCAATCTGTGATGTCCTTCTCCTGGCCTTTCAAATTGCTGCCTTCTTTTTTTTTTTTTTTTTTTAAGATGGAGTTTTGCCCTTGTTGGCCAGGCTGGAGTGCAGTGGTGCAATCTTGGCTCACCGCAACCTCCGCCTTCCGGTTCAAGTGATTCTCCTGCCTCAGCCTCCTGAATAGCTGGGATTATAGGCATGCGCCACCATGCCTGGCTAATTTTGTATTTTTAGTAGAGATGGGGTTTCTCCATATTGGTCAGGCTGGTCTTGAACTCCCGGCCTCAGGTGATCCGCCTGGGATTACAGGCTTGAGCCACTGCGCCCAGCCCAAATGGCTGCCTTCTTATCCTTCAGATCTCAGTTCATATGTCAGTTCCTCAGAGAGACCTTTTCTGACTCCAGTATCTAAAGCAGCACCACTGCTTTCTTTAACAGCACTTAAGCCAATGTGTATTTATATTTTATGTTGTAGCTCTCTTCTTTACTAAATTATAAGCCCATATCCCTTTTGCTGACAGGAGTATGCCCAGAGTTTAGTAAAATACCAGGTACATGTTAAGCCCTCAATAACTGAATAAATAAATGAATAAGAAGTACTGAGTATATGTGAAAGTAACACTATACTAAACCTGCAAATTCATCTTTAATCCATTCCCACCACCTTATTTGTTCTCCACCTCAGGCTCTGAGAATACCACAGCCTTCACAAAAGGCTCCGACACCACCACAGCCTCCATCACAGGCTCTGAGACCACCATGGCCTCCACCATGGCCTCTACTACGGCCTTAACTACAGGCTCTAAGATCACCACAGACTCTACCACAGGCTCTGAGACAACCTCAGCCTCCACCATGGCTTCTACTGCAGCCTTCACCACAGGCTCTGAGACCAACACGGCCTCCACCACAGACTCAGGGACTACTATAGCCTCCACTAGGACCTTCACCACAGGCTCTGACACAACCACAGGCTCCACTGCAGGCTCTGAAACTATCGTGGCCTCCACCACAGTCTCTGGGACCACAACAACCTTTACTATAGCCTCCACTACAGTCCCTGAGACTACCATGGCCTCCAGCACAACCTCCACTGCAGGCTCTGAGAAAACGATGGCCTCCTCCATAATTTCTGAGACCACCATGGCCTCCACCACAGGCTCTGAGACTGCCACAGTCTCTACCACAGGCTCTGAGACCACCACCACCTCCACTGCAAGCTCTGAGGCCACTAAAGTCTCTACCACAGGCTCTGAAACCACCACAGCATCTACTGCAGGTTCTGAGACCACCACTACCTCCACCTCCATGGCAGGCTCTGAGGCCACCACAACCTCAACTGCAGACTCCAAGGTGATCACGGCATCCAGCATGAGCTCTGAGACCACTGTGGCCCCCGCTGCAGGCTCTAACACCACCACAGCCTCTACCACAGGCTCTGAGACCACTACAATCCTGATTAAAGCCTCTGAGACCACCACAGCCTCTACAGCAGGTTCTGAGACCACCACCCCCTCCCCCACAGGCTCTCAGACCACCATAGTCTCTATTTCAGGTTCTGAGATCACCACCACCTCTACGGCAGGATCCGAGAACACCACAGTCTCTAGTGCAGGCTCTGGGACCACCACAGCTTCTATGGCAGGCTCTGAGAGCACCATCTCCACTGCAGGCTCTGAGACCACTACAGTCTCTATCACAGGCACTGAGACCACCATGGTCTCTGCCATGGGCTCAGAGACCACCACAAACTCTACTACAAGCTCTGAGACCACCGTCACCTCTACTGCAGGCTCTGAGACCACCACAGTCTCCACCGTGGGCTCTGAGACCACCACAGCCTATACTGCAGATTCTGAGACCACTGCAGCCTCTACCACAGGCTCTGAGATGACCACAGTCTTCACTGCAGGCTCGGAAACCATCACACCCTCTACTGCAGGCTCAGAGACCACCACAGTCTCTACTGCAGGCTCTGAGACCACTACAGTCTCCACCACAGGCTCTGAGACCACAACAGCCTCTACTGCACATTCTGAGACGACTGCAGCCTCCACCATGGGCTCTGAGACCACCAAAGTCTCAACTGCAGGCTCTGAGACCACAGTCTCCACTGCAGGCTCTGAGACCACTGCAGCCTCTACTGAAGATTCTGAAACCAACACAGCATTTACTGAAGATTCTAAGACTACCACAGCCTCTACTACAGGGTTTGAGACAACCGCAGCCTCTACTACAGGCTCTGAGCCTACCATGGCATCCACCATGGGCTCTGAGACCACTATGGCCTCTACCATAGGCCCTGAGACCACCAAGGTCTCCACTGCAAGCTCTGAGGTGACCACAGTCTTTGCTGCAGGCTCTGAGACAATCAGAGCCTCTACCGTAGGCTCTGAGACCACCACAGTCTCTACCACAGGCTCTGAGACCACCACAGCCTCCATCATGGGCTCTGAGACCAGCACAGATTCTACCACAGGCTCTGAGACCACCACAGCCTCTACTGAAGGCTCTGAGACCACCACAGCTTCCACTGAAGGCTCTGAGGCCACTACAGTCTCCACCACAGGCTCTGAGACCACTACAGTTTCTATCACAGACTCAGAGACCACCACCACCTGTACTGAAGGCTCTGAGATGACTGCAGTCTCCACCACAGTCTTTGAGACCACTACAGCCTCTACTGAAGGCTCTGAGATCACAATAGCCTCTACTTCAGACTCTGAGACCACCACAGCTTCTACTGAAGGTTCTGAGACCACTACAGTCACTACCGCAGGCTCTGAGACCAAAACAGCCTATACTACAGGCTCTGAGACCACCACAGCCTCTAATACAGGCTTGGAGACCACCACAGTCTTTACCATAGGCTCTGACACCACCACAGCCTCTACTGAAGGCTCTGAGACCACTGCAGTCTCTGCCACAGGCTCTGAGATGACCACAGTCTCTACTGAAGGCTCTGAGAACACTACAGTCTCCACCACAGGCTCTGAGACCACTACAGTTTCCACCACAGGCTTGGAGACCACCACCACTTCCACTGAAGGCTCTGAGATGACTACAGTCTCCACCACAGGTGCTGAGACCACCACAGACTCTACTGAAGGCTCTGGGACCACTGCAGCCTCCACTGCAGGCTCTGAGACCACCACAGTCTCTACTGCAGATTCTGAGAACACCACAGCATCTACTGCAGATTCTGAGACCACCTCAGCCTCTACTACAGGCTCTGAGACCACCACAGCCTCTACTACAAGCTCTGAGACCACCACAGCCTCTACTGAAGGCTCTGAGACCACTACAGTCTCCACCACAGACTCTGAGACCACCATGGTCTCTACCACAGGCTCTGAGAGGACCATCACCTCTACTGAAGGCTCTGAGACCACTACAGTATCTGCCACAGGCTCTGAGACCACAGTCTCTACTGAAGGCTCTGGGACCACTACAGTCTCCATCACAGGCTCTGAGACCACTAAAGTTTCTACCACAGGTTCAGAGACCACCACCACTTCTACTGAAGGCTCTGAGATTACTACAGCCTCCATCACAGGCTCTGAGACCACCACAGCCTCTACTGAAGGCTCCGAGACCACCACAGCCTCTACTGAAGGCTCCGAGACCACCTCAGCCTCTACTACAGGCTCTGAGACCACCACAGCCTCTACTACAAGCTCTGAGACCACCATGGCATCCATCATGGGCTCTGAGACCACTATGGCCTCTACCATAGGCTCTGAGACCACCAAGGTCTCCACTGCAAGCTCTAAAATGACCACAGTCTTCACTGAAAACTCTGAGACCACCATAGCCTCTACCACAGCCTCTGAGACCACCACAGTCTCCACTGCAGGCTCTGAGACCATCCCAGCCTCTACAGCAGGCTCTGAGACCACCACCACCACCTCTACTGAAGGCTCTGAGACCACTACAGCCTCTACTGAAGGCTCTGAGACCACCACAGCCTCTACTGAAAGCTCTGAGACCACTACAGCCACTACCATAGGCTCTGAGACCACCACAGCCTCTACTGAAGGCTCTGAGACTACCACCACCTCTACTGAAGGCTCTGAGACCACCACAGCCTCTACTGAAGGCTCTGAGATCACTACAGTTTCTACCACAGGCTCTGAGACCACCACAGCCTCTACTGAAGGCTCTGAGACCACCACAGCCTCTACTGAAGGCTCTGAGCTCACTACAGTTTCTACCACAGGCTCTGAGACCATCACAGTCTCTGCTGAAGGCTCTGAGACCACTACAGTCACTACTATGGGCTCTGAGACCACCACGGCCTCTACTGCAGGCTCAGAGACCACCACAGTCTCTACTGCAGGCTCTGAGACCACCACAGCCTCTATTGAAGGCTCTGAGACCACTACAGTCTCCTCCACAGGCTCTGAGACCACCACAGTCTCTACCACAGGCACTGAGACTACCATCACCTCTACTGAAGGTTCAGAGACCACTACAGTCACTACTGCAGGTTCTGAGACCACAGCAGTCTATACCACAGGCTCTGAGACTACCACCACCTCTACTGAAGGCTCTGAGACAACCACAGTCTCTACCACGGGCTCTGAGACCACCACAGCCTCTACCGCAGATTTGGAGACCACCACAGTCTCCACCTCAGGCTCTGGGACCACCACAGCCTCTACCGCAGGCTCTGAGACCACAACAGTCTATATCACAGGCTCTAAGACTACCACCGCCTCTACTGAAGGCTCTGAGGCCACTACAGTTTCTACCACTAGCTCTGAGACCACCACAGCCTCTACCACAGGCTCTGAGATGACTACAGTCTTTACCACAGTCTCTGAGACCACCACAGTCTCTACCATAGGCTCTGAGGCCACCACATCCTCTGCTGCAGGCTCTGAGGCCACCACCACCTCTACTGAAGGCTCTGAGACCACCACAGCCTCCACTGCAGGCTCTGAGACCACCACAGCCTCCACTGCAGGCTCTGAGACCACCACAGCCTCCACTTCAGGCTCTGAGACCAACACAGCCTGTACCACAGGTTCTGAGACCTCCACACCCTCCAGTGCAGGCTCTGAGACCAACACTGCCTTCATCATAGGCTCTGAGACCACCATAGCTTCCACTGCAAGCTTGGAGCCCACTGCAACTTCCCTCACAGGCTCTGAGACCACCACAGTCTCTATCACAGCTTCTGGGGCCACTGCAGCCTCCACCACTGTCTCTTCCACCACGTTTGTACTCACCAAGGCCACTGACGTTTCTATCCAGCCCATCACCAACACACCTATGTCAGGTACTAACCCCCATGTCTTCTTTGAGCCCACACATTTTAACTCCAGTGGCAACCACCAGCTGTTCACCTGTTTCTATCATCTCTGCCCTGGTTCAAGTCAAGCCAGCACACAGTTAGATATAATTTCCTCTTCTAGGCTGGGCGCGGTGGCTCATGCCTGTAATCCCAGCACATTGGAAGGCTGAGGCGAGCGAATCACGAGATCAGGAGATTGAGACCATCCTGGCTAACACGGTGAAATCCAGTCTCTACTAAAAATACAAAAAATTAGCTGGGCGTGGTGGCGGGCACCTGTAGTCCCAGCTACTCGGAAGGCAGAGGCAGGAGAATGATGTGAATCCGGGAGGTGGAGCTTGCAGTGAGCAGAGATCGCGCCATTGCATTCCAGCCTGGGCGACAGAGCGAGACTCCGTCTCAAAAAAAAAAAAAAAAAAATGTCCTCTTCTGGAATCCTAATTGCCTCTACTCTGGTCTCACCTCTTTTTTTTTAAGTGCCCACCACTTCCATTGCAATCAGAACCACAATATAGTAAACCACAAGTGCATCATATCTGTCACATCTTCCTCCAGCAAGCCCGCCTCAACTCTACTGGCCCATCACAGTTTTGTGAAATGCTCCCACTTCGGTGCCAAGTAGATTATCTCTATTCAACCAACCATCTGTGACACTGCCACCTCCTATCAATGTATTGACTCTAGACCAGAGGCTGGCAGACCACATTTCATGGGTCAAGTCTCACCTGTTACCTGGTTTTGTAAAGTTTTACTGGAACATAGTCATGCCCATTCATTTATGGTTTGTCTCCAGCTGCTTTTCTGCTTTTCCGTGTATTTGCAACAGAGACAGCCTGGCCCAAAAGCCTAAATTATTTGCTGTTTGGACCTTTACAGAAAAAATTTGGCAACCTTTGCTCCAGTCTGAGACCAAACAATTTTGTTCATTCTCTGGCACTTGCCATCAGCAAGCCGGTTACATCTGATTCTATCCTCTTGGTTCTAAGCATACTCACTTCTATTCTCATGACTGGTGCTGTTTGTGATCCCATTTTAACCACTTCTGACCTAGGCACACCCATCGCTACCTAAGCCGCCACCACCGCCTCTGCTGTGTTGATTCGTGCTCACACCTGTCTGAGCCCACCCTCTCCTATCCCTGTGAGCAGCCTTCTCCACTTGGGTCAGGTCCTCCTACATCTGCCCAAGCACACTCACCTCACCTTTGCTGATCACCACAGTGTGGTAGATGATGTCACCTCTGTCCCAGCCACGGCCACTGGCATGCCCATGAGTGAATCCAATTCTACCATCTCCTCCTCCAGCTCCCTCCTTACACCCAGTGATCACAGTCACAAAAGAAGCAGGGCCTGCCGCTTTGTATACCAGCCCACCCACTTATTTGATCTGCTTTGATTTATTTATTTTCAATTTTTTCCATAAGTTATTGGGATGCAGGTGGTATTTGGTTATATGAATAAGTTCTTTAGTGGTGATTTGTGAGATTTTGGTGCACCCATCACCCTAGTAGTATACACTGCACCATATTTGAAGTCTTTTATCCCTCGCCCCCTCCCACTCTTCCCCCAAAGTCCCCAAAGTCCATTGCATCATTCTTATGTCTTCGTATTTCCATAGCTTAGCTCCCACATATCAGTGAGAACATACGATGTTCGGTTTTCCATTCCTGAGTTACTTCACTTAGAAGAATAGTCTAAAATCTCATCCAGGTCACTGCAAATGCTGTTAATTCATTCATTTTTATCAGCCCACCCTCTTCTATTTGGGTGGCCACTTCTGAAGTCAAATAGATCTTCCACTTCTGAACCCATCGCGATAACGTTTCCTCAAACTTCTGCCTCCTCCATCACCAACTCCACCAGGTGACACATTCTACCTCCTTCTCTGTATGACACCCACCTGCATTCTGGGGACATGGCCACAGCAGAATCGCTTTCTACCATCTCTCCTCCCCCACCACACCTCTCCTGAGCCACCTCCACCATAGGTTTGTTAGATTCACCCTCCTCTGGTCTAAGCACCCCCATTCCCCTTTAATCATCTCTGCTACAAATGCATCATCTTGTGTGACCTGTTTCATAGGCACCAGAACCACTGGAACCAGACTCACTGCCTCCAGCTCTGTCACCATGGCCCCTGGAATGGACTTCACGGCCTCTGCTGCCAGCCATACTGTGCCAGGAATAGTCTTAAACACCTCTGGCCTGGGTACATCCACTATGGGAGCATCATCTACCACCTCAGCCCACGGCGTCAGGACCACCACAGGATCCACCCGTGAGCCAACCAGCAGCACCTTCCAGGAAACAGGCCCGGTGTCCATGGGCACAAACACAGTTAGCATGAGCCACACACCCACAAACGTGATCAAACCAAGTGGATATTTACAGCCCTGGGCTATCATCCTCATTTCCCTGGCTGCAGTTGTGGCTGCTGTTGGATTGTCAGTAGGACTGAGTTTTTGTCTGGTGAGTACCCAGGGTGGGTTCATAGGGGAGCCTGGCAAGAAGGCAGGGGGGAATCATGTCAGCAGTGCTTTGGAAAAATCCAGAATGAGAAAGGGGAGTAAGTTGGTGCGCTCAGAAGGAAAGAATCACCTAGCCTGATATAAGGACCAGAGAGAATGCTTAAGTCAGAGAAAGTGAGAAGCAAAGTAGAAAAAGAGGAGGGAAAAGATGGAGTTGGGGCCAAAGTGAAGGGAAATACTGACAGAACAAGGGAAATACTGAGAGAGAACAAGGAGGACATAAACATAAAGAAAGCAAGAAGCAGCTGGGCGCAGTGGCTCACCCCTGTAATTCCAGCACTTTGGAAGGCCAAGGAGGGCGGATCACTTGAGTCCAGGCATTTGAGACCAGCCTGGCCAACATGGTGAAACTTGTCTTTACTAAAAATACAAAAATTAGTCGAGAGTGGTAGCATGGACCTGTAGTCCCAGCTACTTTGGAGGCTGAGGCACGAGAATTGCTTGAACCTGGGAGATGGAGGTTGCAGTGAGCAGAGATCGTGCCACTGCACTCCAGCCTGAGTGACAGAGCAAGATCCTGTCTCGAAAGGAAGGAAGAAAGAAAAGAAAGGTAGGAAGGAAGGAAGGAGAGAGAGAGAGAAAAAGAGAAAGAATGAGGAAGAAAGGAAGAAAGCAAGAAAGAGAAAGAAAGGAAGAAAGAAAGAAAGAAACTGAGAGAGAAAGAGAAAGAAAAAAGAAAGAAGGAAAGAAAGAGAGAGAGAAATAGAGAAAAGAAAGAAGCATAAAAATGTTCAGCCATCCAAAATGCGGGCTTCCGATTGTCTCATGTATGACAAATTTCTGGTCCTCACAGCAATTCCTTGTGTGGCCTGTGACTGTTACTCTCTGACCTCCCACTCCATCTCTGCTCTCTGGTCTTGATTGTTCTTTGAATACATATTTTTCTTACATCGATTTCACATTTATTGATGTTCTTCCTGTTTTCTTGTGATCCTGCGGGTAAGTTACCATTTGAGGAGTGAAGCAGAGTATAAATCAGTGGTGTGCTGGAGCTGGCTCATCCTGGCCCACAAGAGATTGTGCAGTTCTTCCCAATTCTGAGCTGAGTGATGTGACACTGGTAGCTTAAAATATGCTGGGTTGGAAATACTTACACCACAGCAATTGTCAAACACTACAAATCAGCACTTTTCCCTCGGAGAGCCTGTTATTAAGTGTTGGACAGCATACCACTGGTAAAAATGGACAAAATGAAAAATACGGAAGTCACAAAAGATTTGGATAATATAGTCAATTTGCTGAGGTTCTTTGTTTTAGAATTCTCAGCCTCTCTCCGTATGTGGACTACATAATAAATACCAGCATCTAAGAATTACTCCCTAAATTACTTTATTATTTCATTTGCAAGATCAAGAGAGAATAACGAAAGTGAACATTGAGTTTTTACTGCCTGCTAGGCTCAAGGCTGAATGTTTAAAATGCATAATGTTATTTAATCTGGCCTACAATCCCGTGGCCATATTATATTCATCTTACAAGTAAGGGATCTGGAGCTTCATGATCTTAGCTATTTGCCCCAGCACATGTAGTGAGTGGCAGATATAAGACTCTAACTCAGGTTAGTTGGATTCTGGAGTTCATGCCTATAATCTCAAGGCTCTGTGTAGACAGCTTTCTAGAGCTCTCAATTCCACGTACCTGTTCTGAGCTTTCTTAGCTGACTAACAAAGAGAAAGACTGTCTGTAAAGTGAGTCTCTGTGCCTTTCACATAGGGGTATGGATTTACCTTTGTCTTGGAAGTCCAAAAACACATAACCTTATGATCTGCAGAGCTAGGGCCTGAGTACGCACATAAAGATGATATGTTAATAAGGTAACAAGGAAGCTTATTTTGTCAGACGGAGAAAGAGTAAAAGAACAAGGAAAAAGAGAGACAGAGACAGAGATCATAGTAAGGATGGTGGTAAAGAGAAGAGAACATGGGCAGTTTGGAAAAGTGAAAATCTGACATTGGTGAAACAGGCATGTATGGTGATTAGGGAGAGGAGACTTAATTTTCATTTATCAATGTATTTATTTTTTTCTTTTAGAGAGACCTTTTCTTCCCCCTGAGATATTGTGGTATTTATTACCCCCATGGCCACAGCCACAGCCTTGGTCTGGACCTGAACTTGGGCCTGGGCTCTGGGACATTCCACAGCCTGGGAAATGCACTGGTTCATGGAGGAGAACTTGAAATGGGACATGGAGGAACACACGGCTTTGGATATGGAGTGGGCCATGGACTGAGCCACATCCATGGAGATGGCTACGGAGTGAATCATGGCGGGCATTATGGACATGGAGGAGGCCACTGAGGACACCATGGAGTGGATCACAGAGGGAGCCACCAAGGAGGCCACGGCAGGACAAGATGGCTGTGGCCATAGATTGGGTATCAAAACATATTATGGGTGGGAGGGGGTCATGGAGGAGAAAAAAATAATGATCATGAAATAATTAAAATGGAGCATAGGAAGCTTCCCAGGATGTGATCCATGGAGATGGACATGGACTAGGTCAAGAAAAGAACCAGCAAAAGGACCTCAGAGACTTTGACTGGCTTGGAGGGGACTTCAAGTCAAAGCTTCTGTGAGTTTTTCCTGAGTCTCAGCCTCTGTTGTGGGGAGTCACGACAACCACCCTCAGGACATCTTCTCTCCCATTTCCCGCCACATCAGGGTCAACGTTTCTCATCCCTGTGTTTCCTCATGGTGCTATAAATATTACCAAGACATGTCTAAGAAACAAAAGCACATAATGAATGTATTATCAGGGCCACACACGTATTCGTTTTCCTGTTTGTTCTTTCAGGTTTTGTTTTTTTTTTTTTTTTTGAGTGCTTATTATGTACCAATCACTATCCCAGGAGCCTTTAAATACGTCATCATTTGGCTGGGTGTGGTGGCTCACGCCTGTAATCCCAGCACTTTGGGAGGCCAATGCGGGTGGATCACTTGAGGTCAGGAGTTCGAGACCAGCCTGGCCAACATGGTGAAACCCCGTCTCTACTAAATAAATACAAAAATCAGCCAGGAGTGGTGGCGAGTGCCTATAATCCCAGCTACTCGGGATGCTGAGGCAGGAGAATCGGTTGAATCTGGGAGGTGGAGGTTGCAGTGAGCCGAGATTGTGCCACTGCACTCCAGCCTGGGCGACAGAGGAAGACTCTGTCTCAAAAAAAAAAAAAAGGTCATCATTTAATCCTCAGAAAATATCTTGGTGACCTTGAGGTAGGCAAAGATACTTAGATACTTAAGCAAGACACAAAAAGCACTAGCTATTAAAAGAAAGTGTGATGATTTGGACTTCATTAAAGCCTAGTATCAGCATATACCTTTAAGAGGTATATTCTTAACTATAAAAGGAAAGTCAAAGATGGGAGAAGATATTGCAACACATATAGCTAACAAACGACTCATATCCAGAATGCAGAAAGAGCTACAATAAGAAAAAGATGATGCAATTTTAAATTGGGCAAAATATTTGATAAATAGTTAGCAAAAGAGGATATCAAAACAGCCGGTGAACATTTGAAAAGGTACCCAATATCACTGCTTATCAGAAGTGGAATGTAAAACCGCAATGAGATACCACTACATACACACACTGTAATGACTAGCATTTGAAAGACTGCCAGTACCAAGTATTGGAAAGGACATTGAACAACTGGAACTCTCACACATTGTTAGTGGGAGTGTAAATTGATACAATTATCTTGGGAAAATGTTTGGCAATGCTAAAATTAAACACATACCCTATGACTCGGTACTTCCACTCCTGAGAGTAAATATCCAGCAGAAATGAATACCTGTGTCCACCAAAAGACATGTACCATGCCAGCTTCATTCATACCACTGCAGGGTGGAAATTTAACCCCAAAGTCCACTAACATTAGAACAGGTAAGTAAATTGTGACATATTCATGCAGTGGAATGCTACCCAGTAGTGAAAAAAAAAACCTATGAAATCACACAATAACATTAATGAAT
This sequence comes from Homo sapiens, assembly GCF_000001405.40. NCBI lineage: Eukaryota > Metazoa > Chordata > Mammalia > Primates > Hominidae > Homo > Homo sapiens. The sequence goes on from NT_167249.2 coordinate 2,337,348, forward strand.
CTCATAGTCAGTGTTGAGTAAAAGAAGTCAAAACAAAAGTGTACCTACTGTATAATTCCATTCACATGCAGTTCAAGGCCATGTGACATTAACCTGTTGTAATAAAGGTCAGAGTTGAGGATGCCTTGGGGGAAAAGGCTGACCGGGAGAAGGCATGAGAAAGCCTTCTTGCAGGGGCAGACAGGGGAAGCTGAGAATGTTCTGTGTATGATCTGGGTGGTGATTACAAGGGTGTATAGATATGTAAAACTTCATTAAAATGTGCACATGAGATCTGTGCACTTTATGGTATGTAAGTTATGTCTCAATTTGAAAAATGAAAAAGATATTCTGAGGCTATTTTCTCAGCATATTATGATTTCCTTGGTCAGAGAATGTGGTTGGAGACACATGACGATAAATGAGGCATTTGGTAAGCCCAAAGACAGTGGTGCTGCAGGAAGCATTGTGTGCAAGGGAGGCAAGCAGCTATTTTCAATGAGGACAAATCACCTCTCTCTTTAGGTTGAAATAGGTCTGATATAATTAATCTGCCATTCTCTCTGGAGAATGGTGCCACATAACGGGGCCAACACTGATCTCTGCTGTTAGCAGTTGAGGCACTCAGCCATGGATTATCTGTCCAGCTTGGCCTTGGTGAGGGGAAGGCCAGCTCACTGAGCCTTGCATACGCTTCATCCCTGCCAGCCTGTCTGCTTTGTCCATGTCCCTGCTGAGCGAGCACTAGAGCAGCTGGAAAAAGAGATTGACTGACGTCTGCAGAATGGATCGCTTGGTCAACCTCATCATGGAAGATTTCCTCTGTAGTGAACGCCCATTGGTGAACAGTCACATGGGATGCACATACTCTCACCATCTGTGCCCTTCCCAAGAGACTCGTCCACCTTCCTCTTTCCCAGACTTCCTTGTCATCAATTCACCATGTCTTTCCTCACCCTGAGTTATCTAGCCAAACTGTTAGCCACTGCCTATTGATCAGGGTTAACTGTAACTGGTCATCTCTTTGCCCAGGCAAAGTAAACAAAGCAGATGCATTCTTTACAATTCGGATCACTGGGAGAATTTTCCTTCCCCACTGTCCTGCAGGGCTGCCGTGAGTGGGGTGGTAATGCTGCAGCAGCCTGCTCTCTGTGGTGTTAGAATAGCATGCAGAACCACCCACACACCAGAGGAAACCAAATCTTTCCTTTCTCAGTCAACTAGACATAGGAAACCCTTCATGTGACTGTGATTATGGAGAGAGAGGTTAGGAATGTAGCTGGAGATGCCACTGGAGTTACAGCTGCCTACTCATGCCTCTTACTTGTGCCTTGAGGAACTAACTCAGCCAAATTCACAGGCACCACTTCCATTCAAGGAGGTGAGCACTGCTAAGTATGCCCAGTCTAGTGTGGTGGTGCAGACAACACCCAGTTCATAAAGGGCAGCTCATGTTTCATGAACCCTCGCATGCTGAGGACCCAAGATTAAGTCAGATGCTAGGATGTGGAAGAGGGCTTGCTTTTGCTCCAAAACTCTGGGGACCTGTGCCGTGGCTCTTCTACTAGCTACCCAGTGTCTCCACACAGCTTTCTGATGTACCACAGACATTTTAGGCAACATTGGATCTAGTCAGCAATGTCTCAAGCAGCCTTATGGCCTTGCTTTGGTTCCCACTTGAAAGTGGGGAAATATGCGCAGACGGAGCCTAGAGATGAACTTCGAGTAAGATGTTATTTATGTTCTTTTTTTTTTGAGATGGAGTCTTGCTCTGTCGCCCAGGCTGGAATAGTGGCACGATCTTGGCTCACTGCAACCTCCGCCTCCCGCCTCCCGGGTTCAAGCGATTCTCCTGTCTCAACCTCTCGAGTAGGTGGGACTACAGGCGCCTGCCACCATGCCTGGCTAATTTTCGTATCTTTAGTAGAGCCAGGTTTTTACCTTGTTGGTCAGGCTGGTCTCAAACTTCTGACCTCAAGTAATCCACCTGCCTTGGCCCCACAAAGTGCTAGGATTGCCGGCATGAACCACTGTGCCCGGCCACGTCATTTATGTTCTAAGCCCCATAAGCTCCACCCTGACTTGTAGATCGCAATGATGTCTTGTATGTTACCCTAAAGGTTTGGGTGTTTTCATTTCCCCATTGCACTGTCACGATGATAAATGGCTGAGATTCCTTTTGAAAGCTAGGAGGAAGATTCGCGGCACATCCTGGTGGTGGTGGTGGATCTTGCTGCCTTCCCTTCATTTCTAGGTCTGTGAACAGGTTCGGGCCTGGGAATTAGGTGAGAGTCTGTGGCAACTCAAGTCAGCTCTCTGTTCAACCACCTGGATATTTTCACTTATATAGATCAAGTAAGATTTTAGTGGTTAATTGATTAATGATTAATTAGCCATAGCCAAAGAGCCCTGATTACAGCTCTGGTCGTGATGCCCACATCGATAATCATGCCTGTCTTGTCTCTGGAGGGAAAGCCCTACCACCCACCTACTGTTTCCTGAAGATTCCACCATGCCCACTGAAATCAGGAAGCTCATTTCAATGGTCAGATCATCCACCATTGCATTTAGCAAAGAGCTGCTACAGAGCTTTTCAACGATGCTGGTCCTCTCCCTTCTAATGCCTTGATGAAGACAGTTTCAATGGAACCTTCTGGGAGGACGTAATGAAAGAGTGAGTGAGCAAGTTGCACATATTAAATCCATTCCAACATAACTCTCTTCCTAAGTCTTTTGATTTTTTTCTTCCGCTTATACTAATGAAATACTGGGATCTCAACTTTATTTAGTGTAGGCCACCACTAAGTCCACATTTCAAGCAACCGAGAGAACTATTAGTGCAACTCACACCTACTTGAGCTAATGTTTTGAATCTAGAACATGTGATAAGTTCACCCATGTATTTGTTTTCTATCAGTGATAACTTACTACAAATGCAGCAGCTTAAACCAACACCCATTTATCAGACCACAGTTCTATGAGGCGGGTCTGGGGCCAGCATGACTGACTCCTTTGCTCAGTCTCACAGGTTAAAATGAAGGTGTTAGTTGAGCTGCATCCTCATCTGGAGGCTGGCATCTCTTTCAAGCTCACGTGGTTGTGGCAGAGTCCAGTTCCTTGTGTTTAGAGTTGAGGCCCCTGTTTCCTTGCTCACTGTCATCTATGGTTGTTTTCAGCCCCTAGATCTGACTCAACGCATGGAGCTGGAGGCCACGAGGGGTATTGTAATAGGGCCTGTGGTAGGCAGAATAACAGCCCCTCAAAAACATCCACGTTTCAATTCCCAGAACCTGGAAATATGTTACTTTATATGGCAAAAGGGACTCTGCATGCATGATCGCATTAAGGATCTTGTAATGGGGAGATTATCCTGGATTATCTGTATGGGCCCAATGTGATCACAAAGGTCCTTATAAGAGGGAGATGAGAGGCCGGGCGCAGTGACTCACACCTGTAATCTCAGCACTTAGGGAGGCTGAGGAGGGTAGATCACGAGATCAGGAGTTCGAGACCAGCCTGGTCAAGATGATGAAACCCTGTCTCTACTAAAAATACAAAATGTAGCCGGGTGTAGTGGTGGGTGCCTGTAATCCCAGCCACTCAGGGGGCTGAGGCAGGAGAATGGCTTGAACCCAGGAGGTGGAGGTTGCAGTGAGCCAAGATTGCGCCCCTGCACTCTAGCCTGGGCAACAGGGCAAGACTCAATCTCAAAAAAAAAAAAAAAAAAGAGGGAGACAGGAGTCAGAGTCAGAGAGATTTGAAGATGCTGCGATGCAAGCTTTGAAGATGGAAGAAGGGGCCACAAACCAAGGAGTGCTGGAAGCCTCTAGCGGTGGAAAAGGTGAGTAAACAGATTCTTCTCTAGAGCCTCCAGAAGGACCACAGACCAGCTGACACCTTGACTTTAGCCCAGTAAAACCTATTTTAAACTTCCGATCTCCAGAACTGCAAGATAATATATTTGTGCTATCTTCAGCCTGAATTTGTGGTAATTTGTCATGCAGCAATAAGAAACTAATACAGGGCCTGAGGAAAATCTGTGTCCCCTTGCCAAGGGAGTGCTGTGAGGGCGTCACTATAGGGTCTTCAGGCAAGAGAAAGTGACTTCCTCACAGAGGGGAGGAGGGGCTACTTCTGCTGGCAAGGAAAGCTCTGCGGGATTTGGAGGTTCAAAGTTTTTCAGACTCATCAAAATCTACCCAGGTGTCTCCACTCCAATTCTGGGCTTCAGTTAACAAATATTCCAAATGTCACACACGAGACTGGCAAAGATATAAATGCAAGTTGAATATAATTCTCCAATCTGCAGAATCAAACTGTGGGTCTGGTTTTTTCATACATAGTCCCTGTGGCTTTGAGAGATAAGCATGTCTTTTAGAATATTCAGAGAAAGCTCTGTGTTCGCTGGCAATGCCTTGACTGAGGATGCAGCAGAGGGGTCATTTTTTTTCTGTAATCTCCCAGTGCAGCCACCCACAGTCCCGGCAGTCAACACTCCCAGCTTCACGATCTGTCACAGCGACCACCTGGGCTCCCGGCCCTTCCCTTCAACAATTGCTTTATTCCAGGCACCACCACAGGTGATAACTTAAGTCACTTTTTCTATCTTTTGCTGTGTAATACAAAGACTTCATTTTATACTAGCATGAGGTCGCCCCTGCCCTCAAGCCTAATGGGTCAGGGAACCAATCCCAGATTGCCACCTTTGAACGTCAATTTTCTGAAACCTCTTGTTATACCAAATACTGTAACAGTCAGAGTTCACTTACGAAAACAGAAACCACTTTGGATATTTCAAGCATAAAAGGATTTAGTACAAGAAGTAGGTGCTTATAAAACCGCTCGAAAAGGTGGAGGAGTGAAAGTCAGGATGACAGCCAATAGCTTTCAGGTTCACTGCCACCGAGAGCAGAGATCTGCGGTCACCGGAGGCAGGGACGTGCAGGCAACTGCTGAGGCTCCTCCACTCCTCCACAGCCCCACAGTGTGCCAGAGGCAGGGAAATGCGGAGGCCACCGCAAAATCCTCCCCCAGGAAGCCATGCACGCATGCAGCCATTACTGCCACAGAACTGAGTCTCATGAGAGTTTGTTTCACTGGAGGAAGGTAAAATGTGCCTGGAGCCTCCTGGCAAGGGAGCCTGGAAAAGGTAGTTCCCAGGATCGGGGTCCCTGCCATCCAGGGGAGAGAGTGGAAACACGTTAAATGTGCTAAGTGCACATTAAGCTTGGCAGTCTGGAGGGCTGCAGTGGAACTGGAGATCGGAGATGAAAACTAGGAAGAGAAAGCAGACGACCTGTCTAGACGTCTGAAAGCGATCTGAATTAGGACATGCTAAAATTAAAGGACAGGGCAGAGAGAATCTGGAGTTCAGGCAATTCCTAAATAGGACTCCACCTTTCTCTTCTTTTTTTTTTTTCCCTAGGTTAGACTAATACAATTCCAAAATTACTCTGTGTCTTTGTGATTTTTCTGTTTGTATGCAACTGTTTGCATCCTAACATTTCTAATACTGAGGTAAATTAATCTGTCATTCTCTAAACAAGACAGAAGTTCTAAGCTCTTAGCCTCTGCATCCTGTCCCTTCACGGTTGTCAGCACTGACCCTCCAAACATGTATCAAAATACGATCTCTTTCAGTCAGCTTTGCCTGGAGAACCTGCTTCTAACTTACTCATTCTAATGGAATGTCCCTTCTGATAAATATTGCGTCTGTTTTATTTTAAACTTAACCTGGCTGAACCTTTGCTGCTTCTGTGGAAGCTCCAGAATTTCTCTGGGGGAGGGGTTTAGGTACATGCAATATTTTCAAGGGGGCAGCTGGGACCAATGTTTGTAATTGATGCCTTCTTTTTATAGTGATTAAGAACATGGCAGGCCGGGCACAGTGACTCACGCCTGTCATCCCAGCACTTTGAGAGGCCAAGGCAGGTGGATCACCTGAGTTCAGGAGTTCGAGACCAGCCTGACCAACAAAGTGAAACCCCATCTCTACTAAAAATACAAAAATTAGCTGGGTGTGGCGGCATGCACCTGTAATCCCAGCTACTCAGGAGACTGAGGCAGGAGAATAGCTTGAACCTGGGCAGCAGAGATTGCAGTGAGCCGAGATCATGCCACTGCACTCCAGCCTGGGTGACGGAGCGAGACTCCATCTCAAAAAAAAAGAAAGAACGTGGCACAGGAGTCAGACTGCCTGAGTATGAATCCTGATTCTGCCACTTGTTAGCTTTACAAGTCTGGGCAAGATGAACTGAGGCATCTTAAATTTGTAAAACAGAGATTGTGGCACCTAAGCATAGAGTAATATAAATACTAAATAAACTAATATCTGTAAAACACTTTGAATAATGTCTGGCACATGGAATACTCAATAAAAGCTAACTATTATTAGGTATCATTAGATTGTTCATTTGTGGATATCTTACAAAGGAGGGAAGGAAATACTTTTTAGGGGTCTTTTATAAAAGCTGTATTTGTATAGCAACCATATTGTTTCAAATTAGGTTTTATGTATATTCAGGTGGCTTTGAAGGGGCCAGATGGAGATTGGAGGAGGTAGGGCAAATCCCTTTTTAGCCCCTCCAAGTGCTGCTGTCCTTTCCCAAAAATGTTGTATCAGGGCCATTTAAACATTTTTGTAGATATAAGTAATTAGGATCATATTGTTAGAACATACTCCAATATATTTTCCCCTCTAGATAATTTGACGTTTTTCTCCTGCAACTTTTCCAAATTCAAACTTAGCCAAAAGCTGGAAGGAAATGATTTGATGCTTAAGAAGTCCCCTGGTGGCCAGGTGCAGTGGCTCACACCTGTAATCCCAGCACTTTGGGAGGCTGAGGCAGGAGGATTACTTGAGCCCAGGAGTTTGAGACCAGCATGAACAACATAGTGAAAACCCAGCTCTACAAAAGAGTACAAAAATTAGCCAAGCGTGGTGACACATGCCTATAGTCCCAGCTACTTGGGAGGCTGAGGTAAGAGGATCACTTGAGCCTGGGAGGTTGCAGTGAGTCAAGATTGTGCCACTGCACTCCAGCCTGGGCAACAGAGCAAGACCCTGTCTCAAAAAAACAGAAAACAGGCCGGGCACGGTGGCTCGCGCCTGTAATCCCAGCACTTTGGGAGGCTGAGGCGGGTGGATCACAAGGTCAGGAGATCGAGACCATCCTGGCTAACACAGTGAAACCCTGTCTCTACTAAAAATACAAAACAATTAGCAGGGCGTGGTGGCGGGCGCCTGTAGTCCCAGCTACTCGGGAGGCTGAGGCAGGAGAATGGCGTGAACCTGGGAAGCGGAGCTTGTAGTGAGCCGAGATCGCGCCACTGCACTCCAGCCTGGGTGACAGAGCGAGACTCAGTCTCAAACAAACAAACAGACAAACAAAACAGAAAACAAAAAAACTCTCATGGAGTCTAGCCCCAGGTTTTTTTCATGACCTGCGAATGAAGGAACTGGAAGCCAATTACCCCGTTCCCATCTTTGTTTTCTGCCGCTCCTTCAGTTGTCTTTGGGCTCTCTCTGTTGGCCTCAGCCAGAGTTGAAGCAAGCTTGGACTGTAAGCTCTCAGTCCCCAGGCAAACTGACAGTGTCCAAAGTGTAGGTACTTCCTTGATCATCTCGCTTGTCTGGCACACAGCACTGATGAGAAGACCTAGCTGAAGCTCCCCGGTGGAAAAGCTTCTATAAATTCTTCAAAAACAAAAGGGGAGCGCCTCTATCAAGGAGGATTAGAAGCAGGAGCATTCCTCTTTCCAGTGCCATCACTCTCCTTAGGTCCCCTGCAGCGTGTGTGCTGGTAAATGTTTAACAACTCACTTCTCGTGGCGCAAATGCACCCGCCAGAGCTGACTGCGTGTGACCAGCGTGAATCACTGTGTATAGAATGGGAAGCGATGGGCGGCACACCATTCCATACCATTCCCACCAGGCAGATGTGATAGGCGTACGTAACTCCGTGCGCAGAGATAATAGTAAAATGTGGTAAAGCAATTAGAAAGTAATGAGTTTGGAACATTTTTACCTTTGTTTTAAATATAATTTAGTTCACTGTAAGTTAATACACGTTAATTTTTAATGATGGCTGTGTTGCCAAAAATCCTGAAAATTCAGCAATGAGCTCTAGCACACAGGCATGCACTGACCCAGTACACCATTGGTTCCATCTCCTCAACAGCTCACACCACCACCCCCAACTCTCCCACCCCCAGCTCCCACGCTGCGGAGACCCCAGAGTCTATTTCCCTCCCCCGGGTCTCTCTTCCCCACCTCATTCAAGGTATGCTTTGCAGGCTTACTAATTATTCAGCAATGCCCAGAGGTCCAGTCTCCAGTGCCTATTCACAGGGATCTCACTTCCTGTGCCCTACCTGCTAAGCTCTGTTTGCAGGGGCTTCCTTCTCACACACCTGCTCCTGCCCAGCTATACTGGGTTCTCAGGACTTCTTGTCCAGGAAAGGAGGCCTCCAACTAGAGCAGGTTTTCTGCCCCATCCCTGCCTCAGAGGGTGGAGCCCCTCCACTTTGACAGCCTTGATCCCCTTGAACTATTCCACTTCCCACTCCTCCCCAGGCCCTTCCTAATGGGACTAAGTCATCCTCCACCCTCACCTACCTTCTGGCTGCTGTACCCTCCTCTCTAAACTTGGGGATTCTGCCACTGCTCACAGCTGGAAGAACAACAGCCTACATGTCCAGGCCTTGCCCAGTCCAGATGATGCTTTAAAGGCCTTCTTCTTCTTCCTTTTTTTTTTTTTTTTTTTTTTTGAGATGGAGTCTCACTCTGTTGCCCAGGCTGGAGTGCAATGGCGTGGTCTCAGCTCACTGCAACCTCTGCCTCCTGGGCTCAAGCGATTCTCCCGCCTCAGCCTCCCAAGCAACTGGGACTACAGGCATGTGCCACCACACCAAGCTAATTTTTGTATTTTTAGTAGTGATGGCGTTTCACTATGTTGGCCAGGCTGGTCTCGAACTACTGACCTCGTAATCTGCCTATCTTGGCCTCCCAAAGTTCTGGGATTACAGGCATGAGCCACTGTACCCGCCCTAAAGGCCTTCTTTGAAAGAGAAAAAGAAGAGGTGGCATTCTGTGAAGGAACATCAAGGACCAGACATCCAGCTTCCCCTGTAGCCCAGGTCCCCCTAGCGGTGCTTCTCTTCAGATTGAGGACCTATTCTTTGGAGTTCCGAATTCCTAGTAGTCCAGCCCTCAGATCTCCACCTTGAGACTCCACCCTCAAGATTCTCATTTTCTGCCTTTCCCTTCTAAGGCTTAATCCCATCGGGACTAAGGGAGGAGCCTTCCCTTCCAGCCTCACACAGGCAGACTATCTCAAAAGAAAGAGAAAGCAATTTTCCCTTGCATGCTGGCTGTTTCACTTCCTTCTACTTTTAGGAAATGGTGAGTGATTTTGTTTAAAAGAGAATAATCTTGGAGTTTGAGTAGAGTTTGGGGAAAATGTTGACAACTTCTGGGACACACACTCTGTCCTTGTTGCCCCCATTCTCTTCAAGGCAGGAGGGATGATTATTTTGCTTCTTTCTCTCCAATGCAACCCAGCATCTGTCCTCCGTTCTGTTCTCAGTGGCAACTCTTCTGCCCAGAAGATGGACCTATTTACTCTATAATACATCATTCCCAGATATAGGCGCATTAGAGTTGGAAGAGAACTTGAATTAGTGTCTGACCACCTGTAATAGGCAGGGATCTATTTCCAGCGTCTCTGACAGCAGTCATCTAGCCTCTAATTAAACACTTCATGAGACATTGCTGTTCCACACTCACGCAGATTTAATTCTCTCTAGAATCTGCCCCAGCGTGGCTTTGACTCTTGTGTTTTATGCCCCTGACCAACACAAAACCAGTCTATTCCCTCTCCACAGGCCAGCTTTTCATCTCAACTTCTCACTTAGTTTCTCTCTTGGCTCTGACCCTAACCTAAGGCATCGACACACAGTTTTGGGATTCTTCCCTCAAATCTAAATTGGCAATCCTTATGTTAGTCCAGACAACACCAAGGCAAGAACATATGTGGAGGGTGAAGGGCAGCACCTACATCCAGGGAGAGAACAGGGCCATCGATGAGGAGAGGGTCTATAGGGATCTGGGAGGTCAAGGGCTTGGTTGTTAATGGGATGGAAAATCAGAACAGGGTAGAAAATAGGCATGACAGGGAAAGAAGCTCAGTCTCACCTTAACTCTAACTGATCCAACAAGAAAGCTGAGCCACTTTCCTGAATCCCAGAAGATCTTATTTCTTCAAGCTGACATGACTGATTCTTTACTAGTCCATGTGTCAAGACCATCTGGGGTCCCTTAAACCAGTGGCTCCCAAACAATTTTTTTTTTTTTTTGAGACAGAGTCTTGCTCCGTCGCCCAGGCTGGAGTGCAGTGGCGTGCTCTCAGCTCATTGCAACCTCCACCTTCCAGGCTCAAGCGATTCTCGTGCCTCAACCTCCCGAGTAGCTGGGATTACAGGCTTGCACCACCATGCTTGGCTAATTTTTTTGTATGTGTAGTAGAGACAGGGTTTCTCCATGTTGTCCAGGCTGGTCGAGACTCCTGGCCTCAAGTGATCCTCCTGCCTTGGCCTCCCAAAGTGCTGGGATTACAGGTGTGAGCCACTGCGCCCAGCCCCAAACTTTTGTGTTCAGAAGAATTACCCGATGTAGTAAAAATGCACATCATGGTCCCCTCCCAAACCGATTCCCCTTGATTATCTGCCCCCTAGAGGAAGGGCACAATACTGTTTGGAGAGGAGCTTGATGGGCCTTCAACTTTTCTCTTACGTTCTTTAGTCGGAGAGTATCATGAATAGTTAAAAGAATAACACCATCCCCTGTAAACCCTGGTCTTGTAACTCCCCCATACCTGGGATATGGAATAATGCATGGGTTAAGGGCTTTAGGGGCTAGCTCTGGGGTCAGACTGCCTTGATTTAAATCGTTGTTCCACTACCTACTAACTGTCTGACCTGGAACTAGCTGCTTAACTTCTCTAAACCTCAATTTACCTATCTATAAAATGGGGGTAATATTAGTTTCTATCTCAAGGAGGTATTGTAAGGATTTTAGTACTAATTTATATGTGGCACTTAGCACAGTGCCTGGAATATAGTGAGCATTCTTAAATGACAGCCACTATTATTATCACTAGTATTACTCATAGTAGCGGTAGCGGTGAACAAAACCAAATTTCCAGTGGAGCCAACCAGCCACCCTTTCTTAACCAGCTGTAACTTCCAGTGAAATCACCACGATCATCCCCCCAGATTAACCCCACCTTCCAGTGGAATCACTGTGACCACCCCTCCAGGATCAACCACATTATCCAGCAGAATCACCGTGACCACGCCCCCTGGACCAACCACACCTCCCAGTGGAATCACTACAACCCCCCTGCCCTGGGTCCACTATATCTTCCAGTGGAACTAACACAACAACTGCAACCTCCAGTGTCACCAGCACAAGTGCAGCCCCTCCAGGGAATGAGGGAAGGTCTAATGGATGCCTGAGGCTGTGGGAAGTCATCCTAGTCACTCTGGCCTTGGTTGCAATGGCTGTGATTCTCTTCACAGGGCTCTTTTATTTCATGAGTGCCTGATGTGTGGGAAATCCTTTTTCTGAGGGAGGGAGTGCAGGGAACTGAGGAGGGAAGCAGGGTAGAGAGAGTAGGGTCATTGTGTGGCTAATAGGGAATGAGAAATCAGGAGAGGGACAAAGCAAGACAGAGACAGCAGGTGAGAACCAGCAAGAGAGAGGGCTAGAAAAGCTGGTACATGTTCAGAGGAAATTGATGAGGAGAGAAGGGGCCAAAGGAGTACTGAGGCTGGGGAGGCCGAATGGGGAGTGGGGACACGTGGGATGGGAGAGCACTGGAAGAGGGGCATAACTCTGAACGATCCATCCTTTTGTTTTCTAGAGAAACTCTCTGTGCCTAAGAAACCTCTTCACCAAAGATCTTCACATCCCAAACCTTGGTCCATGTCCTCAAGGATATCATGGAGTCCAAGATGGGTCAAGTGAGACTGAAACGGATTTTAGAGACCAGTGTTCTCCCACAGGCATGGAGCTGATGAGGAGACACAGTGTCCCTAAAGGCAGGCACTTCACTGTCCTCAGGGTGGGGAGGACCAGCGGTCTCGGTTTTCCTCACTTGCCCCCAGGGCTGCTCCTCCCAGCTCTGCTCCAGCCCCTGACACTCCTACCTTCTGTTTAGTTCTCCCAGACCTGAAACAGGAGGCTATCGCTAGTGCTGAATGATTAAATAAGTGCATCTGCTCTATGTGACAGCCAGACTGTGGGTGTGTGCTTGTATATTGCTGTGAAGAGAGGTTTCCTATATCATGAGGACACTCTTTCGCTGTGTACTCCCAGTTCTCAAATCCTAGCATGAAATCCAGAGACCTCACATCTGTCCCATTTTCTTCCCCACTCCTTCCCTGCTCCCCGAGGCCTCTGGGTCGATGGAAGAATGGAGTCAGGAGAGATGGGGGAAGGCAGGTGCTGGTCTTTACAGACGTGTGTTGCATGGCAGGAAAACAGCCTCTGCGTGAGCCTAGAACATGAACTGGAGGAAAGTGATCCTGTTTTCATGTTGTGAGGTAGGAAAGAGCTTGCTACTGGGGCCACCCTTAGACATGGCCACTTTTCCTGGCCACTCAAGTCTGCTCTGGGCTGCAGGTGTGAGTTGCCACCTTTCTCTCCTGTGGGCTCCCAGCCCAGCAACTGTCCTGGGCAGGGAGAATGTGCTCCCAGTTTTTGCAAGGGCAGGACTGGCTTGCCCTGCTACGGTCTAGATCCTCAGCAGCTCCCCCAAAACCAGGCCTCAGAGGGCACACATGCCAGTGTCAGCACCATGCTCAGGCCTGGTCCCACCCAGGCTTCTGGTGCAACTTGCTCTCGCACACGCACCCCACTGATTCTTCCTCCCTGTGAATCACTCGCCTCTGCTTTATCAGTTTCACCCTCTGCTAAGTCTCTTCAGCTTCTGGGATTCTCCTGGGTCTTTGGGAGAGCCTTAACAGGACCAAGCTGTTTCTCTAAGAACATTTTACAATATGATGAACAAAACTGTTTTTAGGCTGGGTGCGGTGGCTCATGATGCCTGTAATCTTAGCATTTTGGGAGGCTGAGGCGGGCGGATCGCCTGAGGTCAGGAGTTCAAAACCAGCCCAGCCAACATGGCAAAACCCCGTCTCTACTAAAAATACAAAAATTAGCCGGGTGTGGTGGCACATGCCTGTAGTTTCAGCTACTCGGGAAGCTGAGGTGGGAGGATTGCTTGAACCTGGGAGGCGGAGGTTGCAGTGAGCAGAGATTGCGCTACTGCACTCCACTGTGGGCAACAGAGAAAGACTCTGTCTCCAAAACAAAACAAACAAAAAACATAACAACAACAACAAAATCTATTTTTAACAGATGCAAGAGAGTATCTACTGTACAATTTATTTGCATGAAATTCAACAATAGGCAAAACTAATCTATGGTGGCAGAGATCAGATCTCCTATGAGGGTGAGGGTTTTTAGGAAGGGAGCACTTTCTGGGTGATAGGAATGTTTTCTATATCAACTGGTCTGTTGGTTACACAGGTAAATACACTTGTCAAAACTCAGCTAACAGCTGGGTGTGGTGGCTGACGCTTGTAATTCCAGCACTTTGGGAGGCTGAGGTGAAAGGATTGCTTCAGCCCAAGAGTTTGAGACCAGCCTGGGCAACATGGCAAGACCTCATCTCTACAAAACATACAAATATTAGTCGGGTATAGTAATGCACACCTGTAGTTCTAGCTACTTGGGAGGCTGAGGTGGGATGATTGCTTGAGCCCAGGAGGTCAAGGCTGCAGTGAGCCGTGATGGTGCCACTGCACTCCAACCCGGGCAACAGAGTGAGACCCTGTCTCAAAAAAACAAAACAAAACAAGAAACCTCCACTAACTGAATTCTTAAGATCTGTGCATTTCACTTTTTGTAAATTTTACCTCAATAGGAAGAAAAAATGTATATTCGGGTTTTTTATTTTGGGATTTTTTAATTTTTATTTTTATATTAGGGTTTTAAAATAATACCTTGAAGATATTTATCAGTGTATCCATTATCTCCTCTTCAGTTTTAAGAGCCCCCAGACCTTTTCGTAAAATAATTATCATCTTTTGCACTCATTTTTTCATTCATTCATTCACCATATTTACTGGACACCTGCTTGGCATGAGGTCTCAAGGAGCTGGGGCAGCTAGGATGACCCTGTAGGTCACAGTTGGGTGAGGGAGGTACATAAGTTACAGGCCAACGCATCAAGTAGTATGAATGGAAGCACCACAGGAGGAAACATCTAACTTGATGAGGGGAGGAGAGGCTGACTCACATAGAAGGTGACATTTGGATTTTGAGGAGTTAGCAGGCATTTACGAGGAGCAGAAGAGGAAATGCCAGGCAAGCAAGCAGCTTGTGCAAGACTGGGCATGGCACGGCCAGTGAAGGTCAGAAGACCTGTGGGGCTAGAGAGCACAGCAGAGGGAGCTGGGGCTGGGGGCTAATGCGTGGCTTTGAACACCACTCCAAGGAGGCCAGATTTCATCCTTTAACAGCACAAAGCCCACAGATCACTTTAAGGTGTAGTGGGACACAATTTTTTCCCCAATAAGAACACTTCAATCAGCTGAGTGAGTAGAAAATAGAGGCTGGAAACCAGCAAAAATGGTGTTGTAATGCCCCTGCAAAGAAAGAAGCAAATAGACAAATCTAAGACCACAAAACATGGAAATGGGAAAGAAGAAAAGAAGTGGAGGCTGGGCACAGTAGCTCATGCCTGTAATCCTAACACTTTGGGAGGCCAAAGTGGGAAAACTGTTTGAGCCCAGGAGTTTGAGACCAGCCTGGGCAACAGAGTGAGGTCCTGTCTCTACAAAAAGTTAAAAAGATTAGCCAGGTGTGGTGGTGCACACCTGTAGTCCCAGCTGAGGTGGGAGGATAACTTGAGCCCAGGGGGTCAAGCCTTCACTGAGCTGTGATTGTGCCACTCACTCCAGCCTGGGTAACAGAGTGAGACCCTGTCTCAAAAAAAAAAAAAAAAAAAAAAAAAACGAGAAGAAATGTGAATTTCAAGAGATTTCTGCCTAGCACTTTTTTAAAAATCCCCAACTCCAGAATTTATGGTGACTTTTGTTAAAAGTCCTGTTTTAGGGAGGTCTTCATCTAATGAGCTCTAGGCAATTTTCTTAAAACTAATTCATCAAATGACTAATTCTTTGAATTTTTAAATTTTCTTTAAATCCTATTCAGTGTGATTCCCTCCTGCTGCAGGCTGGAGGCTGGGAGACAGAGGGAGAATGGGGAATGTCTTCTTGATTTATAGCATGTTTTCTAGTTAAGAAAATACTCAAGATAAATATATTTATTTATAACAATTTTCACATGAAAGACTTTATTCAAAAATATGTGCAAGAAAAAATTATTTATTCTTGACTCTGATGAATAATTGCAAATATGATTCCTATGAATAGTATATAAATTATATCTAAAACTATAAGGCTACAGACTATACGATTCCCTTCATATGACATTCTGAAAATGGCAAAATTATAGGGAAAGAAACAAGATCCATGTTGCCAGGGTTTGGGAAGTGGGAGAAGGGTTGGCTCTAAAGGAACGGCATGGGGGGAGATTGAGGAGGATGAAGGGATTCGGTGCGCCGAATACGTGACTCTACCATTTATCAAAATCCATAGAACTGTACACTACAAAAAGTGATTTTTAGGGTATGGAAATTCAGCAAATCAACCAGGATGTGGAGGGAAAGATGGAAAGCAGACTCTGACAAATGACTCATGTAAGCACAGTGAAACGGATGGAGAAGAAGGAGCTGGCCTAAGTAACTTTGAAAAACTGTTTTGAGTCAGGCATGATGGCTCATGCCTGTAATCCTACCACTTTGGGAGGCCAAGGCAGGAGGCTTGTTTGAGTCCAGGAGCTTGAGATCAGCCTCGGCAACACAGCGAGAACCCCGCCTCTACAAAAAGTTAAAAAAATTAGCTGGGCATGATGGTGTGCCTGTAGTCCTAGCTGCTCAGGAGGCTAGGATGGAGGGATCGCTTGAGTCCAGGAGATCAAGGCTGCAGTGCTACTGCACCCCAGACTGGGTGACAGAGCAAGACCCTGTCTCAAATTTAAAAAAGAAAAAGAAAAGAAAAACTGTGTTTTGACCATAAAGCTAAAGACAAAAAAAAAAAAAAAATACAGAAACACTGTACTGTAGTTGGTAAATGTGTTTCTGGCAAGGGTATGAATTAGCAGTTCTGAAACCACTATTTGTTTATTAGGGTTGAAAAAATAAGTAAAAAAATATGTTTATAGACATTCGTAGCCATGTCAGAGAAAGGAGTTACAAATAAAGAAAAGGGAGAGACTAGAATGAACCCCATGTTGCTGGATTAAAGCTGGAGGTGTCAAAATGCACCCATGCTTGTGTTTAAAACACAGGTTGAGCAACCCTCATCTGAAAATCCAAAATGCTCCAAAATCCAAAACTTGCTGAGCACCAACATGACACCACAAGTCAACATACACAAACTTTGTTTCATGCACAAAATTATTTAAAATATCACGTAAAGTTACCTTCAGGCTACATGTATAAGATATATATAAAACATAAACAAATTTCATGTTTAGACTTGGGTCTCATCCACAAGATATCTCATTGTGTATATACAAATATTTCGAAATCCAAGAAATTGAAAATCCAAAACACTTACGGTCTCAAGCATTTCAGATAAGGGATTCAATCTGTATATGCAGACAGGTCATTGCAGAAATAAATACAGACCTGTGTTTATGCATGAGTTAGTTTACATACATACGTTTCCTAGCTCTAACTTCCGTGGGGGCAAGAAGCAGTGACATCCACTATGAATGAGCACACCTAGTACCCAAATCTTGGTTTCTAAATATTATTCTCTAATACAAAGAGGAGCCAGAGCTCTGTGGAGAAATAGTTGATTCCAGGGCCTGGATGGACAAAATAAAAAATGAGCATGAAGCATCTTGTAATACCAGAATGCAAGAAAGTGTTTTAAAAAGGGATGGAGAGGGCCATGCACAGTGTCTCATGCCTGTAATCCCAGCACTTTGGGAGGCCCAGGCTGGGGGATCACCTGAGGTTCGTGAGTTGGAGACCAGCCTGACCAACTTGGAGAAACCTCTCCCTACTAAAATAATACAGAATTAGTTGGGCATGGTGGTGCATGCCTGTAATCCCAGCTACTTGGGAGGCTGAGGCAGGAGAATCACTTGAACCCAGGAAGCAGAGGTTGCAGTGAGCCGAGATTGCACCATTGCGCTCCAGTCTAGGCAACGAGAACGAAATTCCATCTCACACACAAAAAAAACAAAAAAACAAAATACCACGGATGGAGAGGCTGGGCACAGTGGCTTGAGCCTGTAATCCCAGCACTTTGGGAGGCCAAGACAAGTGGATTGCTTGAGCCCAGGAGTTTAAGACCAGCCTGAGCAATATGACAAAACTTTGTCTCTACAAAAAAAAAAAAAGTTAGCTGGGTGTGGTGGCGCACACTTGTTGTCCCAGCTACTTGGAAGGCTGTGGTGGGAGGATTAGTTGAGCTCAGGATACGGAGATTACAGTGAGCCAATATTGCACCACTGCACTCTAGCATGGGCAACAAAGTGAGACCCTGTCTCAAAAAACA
The DNA here is from genome assembly GCF_000001405.40 of Homo sapiens. Taxonomy (NCBI): domain Eukaryota; kingdom Metazoa; phylum Chordata; class Mammalia; order Primates; family Hominidae; genus Homo; species Homo sapiens. The sequence goes on from NT_167249.2 coordinate 2,355,030, forward strand.
AAACAAAATAGCAATGGAGATATCAGCTGGGTGTGCTGGTGCATGCCTGTAGTCCTAGCTACTTGTAGGAGGCTGAGGCAGGAGGATCCCTTGAGCCCAGGAGTTTGAGGCTGTATGATGATGCCACCGCAATTCAGCCTAGGAAACACAGTGAAGTCTTGTCTCATAAGTAAAACAAAACAAAAAAAGGATGGAGGACATTAAAACGGCACTGGAGCCCATCTGAAAGAGCTCCCAGTGGCCAAAGTTTGAGCAACAAAATAAATAGTGATAGTATTGGATCATAACTCACAGAACAAAATAAACATTTATGAGTCCATTCTGATATAAACAAATAGTTGAATAAATAAAATGGGGAGAGGGCACGACTTTTTCTTACAGAAGAATTTCAATTAATAAATGTAGAAGGAATCTAATCTATCACCATTAGGATTACACACCTGTAATCCCGGGTGCTCGGGAGGCTGAGGCAGGAGAATTACTTGAACCTGGGAGGGGAAGGTTGCTGTGGGCTGAGATCGTGCCATTGCACTCCAGCCTGGGCAGCAAGAGTGAAACTCTGTCTCAAAAAAATATATATAGTATTGTACCAACAATAACTTCTTAGCTTCTATAATTGTATGTATAATCTCTCAGTTTCTATAATTGTACTATGTAAGATATTGACATGAGGAAAAGCTAGGGGAAAAATATACGGGAACTCTGTTAACTATTTTTGTAATTCTCTGTAAGTCTAAAATTATCTCAAAATGAAGTTTTAAAAATTCTAAAACAAAGCCAAACCAAAAAAATTCTATTGACCTGCACATGAAAAAGGGTGAATTTTATCATATGCAAATTATACCTCTTGACTTAGAAAATCAGATATTTTCCTTACTATACTCTTTTGAAATCTATTCATTAGTTATACTAAATACATACAAGTTCTTTTGAGTGTGTTTAAATACTATGTTTGAAAATGTTGCTGGGTGATGTGGCTCACACCTGTAATCCCAGCACTTTGGGAGGCTGACGAGGGAGGATCTCTTGAGCTCAGGAGTTCGAGACCAGCCTGGGCAACATAGTGAGACCTTGTCTCTACTAAAAATAAAAAAACAATCAGCTGGGCATGGTGGTGCATGCATATAGTCCCAGCTACTCCGGAGGCTGAGGTGGAAGGATCACTTGAGCCTGGGAGATCGAGGCTGCAGTGAGCTGTGATAGCACCACTGCACTCCAACCTGGGCAATACAGCAAGACCCTGTCAAAAAGAAAGAAAGAGAGAGAAAGAGAAAGAAGAAAGAAAGAAAGAAAGAAAGAAAGAAAGAAAGAAAGAAAGAAAGAAAGAAAGAAAGAAAGAAAGGAAGGAAGGAAAAGAGAAAATATTTAACACATTCAAATAATACTAGTAGTTAACATAGTCAGTTACATGTGGTAAACTAGCCATTCATTAAATTGATTTTCAGGAAATCAGCTGCCTTCTAAGAGAGGAACAGTTCCCGGCCCACCTGCAATTTCACACTCCTCTTTTAGTTAGAAGGACACTGGGAAAGAGAGAGGCCCCACAAATGGTGAGAGACATCTCTGAATGAAGATGGGAACCAACAATGATCTTCTAAAGAGTGGGCAAGGCAGGGATAAGGGTCAGAGAAGGAGGAAAAGATGTGGGTATTCTCATTCAGGCCTGACCTGACCACAAGTGGACTAATTTTGTGCAGTGATATGGCTTGGCTCTGTCCCCACAGAAATCTCAACTTGAATTGTAGCTCCCACAATTCCCCTCATGCTGTGGGGAGTTTTTCTCTTTTCGCCAATCATCTTTCTCTTGCTATTCTGATGACTGTGAATAAGTCTCATGAGATTTGATGGGTTTATCAGGGGTTTCCGCTTTTGCTTCTTTCTCATTTTCTCTTGCCGCCACTGTGTAAGAAGTGCCTTTTGTCTCCCTCGCGTGATTCTGAGGCCTCCCCAGCCATGTGGAACTGTAAGTCCAATTAAACCTCTTTTTCTTCCCAGTCTTGGGTATGTCTTTATCAGCAGCGTGAAAACAGACTAATACATGCAGTAATTGAGAAAGCTCACTGGGGTGAGGGCACTCGAGCAGGGGGAGCAAGGAGAGAGATCCGTGGGCTGGAGAGAAGCCAAGGAAGAGGATTTGGGTGGATGATTGAGCAAAGAGCGAGGTTTTAAGAGACAGAGAGATTGGGTGTTTTAGCCCCCTCGTGAGTGTTCCTCTCCTTCTGTTGGAGGACCTTCTCTTGGTCCTTACCAAATGTCCTCTACCCTCTGACACCCAGCTCTCCTCTTGCCAAGCATCATCCCCCAGGCAGGCCTGGCCTATGCCCTCCTTGGTCATCCTGACTTTACTGTGGCCACCTGTGGGAAGGAAGGCCGAGGCCCTCCCTGAGCACTGAAACACCGGGTGGAGGATGGTTTTCAACTAGGCTCCACATCAGAAAGCAGTGCACTCACGCTGACAGGCTTGATCCCCTGTGGCTGCTCGACTCTGGGCTCTGGTCCAAAGCTGAGAGCCCCCCTTCCCCTCATGACAGCCTCTTCTGCCCTGCCCGGCCACTCCTTTGAGTGACAGGGGGTAATTGAGAAGCTGCTCCTCCCTCCAGGAAGGAAGACCCGGAGCTCTGGCTTCCCTCGGCAAAGCACATATAAACCCACAGCCACTGCGGGTGGAAGGAGAAGGGCAGGGTGGAAAAAGTTTGAGAGAAGGAGGGAGGAAAAGGTGTCCTGGCTAGCACCATGTGGATTCTCTTGAGATGAGAAGAAAATGCCCCGCTACGTCCCCCTTCTGCTGCTCCTGCTTCTCCTGAGGTGTTCACAACGGGGTGGAGGAGTTAATTTTGGTGAGAAGGATGTAAAAGTCCCCAGGACCTGGAGAGATGGAGTCAGGGTCCCTGAAGAAGGAGCCTCTTGGGACTCAGACAGGCCCAGTCCTGAGCGAAGGTACGGAATAGGTGAGTGAACCTTGGGAACTCCGGACCCTGTTATCTACCCTCAATCACCTGCCACAGGGAAGCAGGGACCCCAGCGTCTTTCTCATATCCCCTTTTAAGGAAATGCTCTGCTTTTGATTTTGTGCATTTTATTTAAGTTTCTTTGTTTCAACTTTCCTGGAGAAATGAAAAATTTGGCACTCCTCTAATCCCAGCACTTTGGGAGGCTGAGAAGGAGTGGGATCCCTTGAGCCCAGGAGTTTGAGACAAGCCTGGGCGACATAGTGAGACACCATCTCTACAAAAACCAAAAAAATCAGCCAGGCGTGGTAGCCCATGCCTGTAGTCTAATCTACTCGGGAGGCTGAGGTGGGAGGATCACTTGAGGCCAGGAGGCCAAGGCTGCATTGAGCCATGATTGTGCTACTGAACTCTAGCCTGAATCACAGAACAAGACCCTGTGTCCAAAAAGAAAGAAAGAAAAAGAGAAAGAAAAGAAAGAAACGGTCAGGTGCAGTGGCTCATGCCTGTAATCTTAGCACTTTGGGAGGCTGAGGTGGGTGGGTCATCTGAGGTCAGGTGTTTGAGACCAGCCTGGCCAGCATGGTGAAACCCAGTCTCTAGTAAAAATACAAAAATTAGCTGGGTCTGGTGGCGCGCGCCTGTAATCCCAAATACTTGAGAAGCTGAGGCAGGAGAATCGCTTGAACCTGGGAGGTGGAGGTTGCAGTGAGTGGAGATCGCGCTATTGCACTCCAGCCTGGATGACAGAGGGAGACTCCGTCTCAAAGAAAAAAAAAAAAGAGAGAGAGAGAGAGGGAAAGGAAGGAAGGAAGGAAGACTTGAACCCTATTAGAAAAATGTGGAGCATCAGCAGTAGGGAGGGATGACTAGATTTGGGCAGAGTCCCAAAAGTTCAAAATTTATGCCATGTAAGCTACATGTATTCCTAAGAATAAGAATACTCCCAAGTCCTGACGGCTGCCTGGGGCAGTGAGGGCTGGAGACGAAGAGGACTCATCTCTTCTTTGTACTTATACCTGACTCAGTGTTGCCCTCAGTCCAACTAGATCACACCCACACCCCTCATGACTCCTCCCCTAAGCCTGCCCCCATACCACCTTGAATCTTCCCTGCCTCCAAGCCTACCACGTTAGCCCCAGATCTGACCCAGAAGCTGTCTCATGCTTTTTTTTTCCTTTTTTGAGATGGAGCACCTGGCCAGCTGTCTCATTTTAAATCATACACCAAGCATGACCTGAGTGTAATCTCTAACATGAATCACAGCTTCTGCCTCATTGGTTTGCCAGAACCGCAGGCACAAATGGATGAGAGGAGACACCTATGAACATGGAGCCAGAATACCCCAATTGCTGAAACACCAGTTCAGAGAGGAGTGAGCTTGAGAAAGAGTCAGGTTTAGTGTCCCACGGAAAGAGACCAGACCTGGAAAAGACAGAGTCAAAGCTGGGTGAGCAGGCCTTCGAAGGGCGTGGCTCAGCAAAGATAATCCATATTGTAGTGCAAGAGGATTCTTTGTGGAATATGTTTTACCAGAATTAAACCAAAAATGCCAAATGATCCCTAACTCGAATAAATCTCACCACATTACCTGGGGAGAGGTGTCATTTGGATGTGAGGATAGTTATGAAAATACTGAGCAGAGCAGATGAGGATAGGCCATCAACAATTCACATTAAATGAGATTACTTTTTAGTAGGACTAAGCCAAAGCATTTCCACTAAGCACCCAGAGACCAGCCCTAAAGACTCAAGAATAAGAGAAAATGATGTAACTGCAGATGGAAGGACCACTGAGGACCACATCACTGCAGACCCAGGGACCACCGAGGACTCTGTCACTGCAGACCCAGGGACCACTGAGGACAATGTGACTGTGGACCCAGGGACCACCGAGGGCTCTGTCACTGCAGACCCAGCGACCACCAAGGACTATGTGTCTGCAGACCCAGGGACCACCAAGGATTCTGTCACTGCAGACCCAGGGACCACTGAGAACTTTGTCACTGCAGACCCAGGGACCACCAAGGACTCCATCACTGCAGACCCAAGGACCACAGAGGACTCCGTCACTGCAGACCCAAGGACCACCAAACACTCCATCACTGTAGACCCAGGGACCACTGAGGACTCTGTCACTGCAGACCCAGGGACCACCAAACACTCCATCACTGCAGACCCAGGGACCACCGAGGACTCCGTCACTGCAGACCCAGGGACCACAGAAGATGAAACCACTAAACATGGTGACACTCACCTTCTGTGAACTACTTCAGTCACAGCAGTGAAACCCACCAGGCTCCTGACACCCATGGGAATTATCCTCATATCCCTGGCTGCAACCACAGTCACTGTTGTGCTCTTTGTTGGACTGGGCTTCATTGTGGTGAGTATTTGGTCTGGGAATATTCAGGGCATCAGGGGAACGAGGCCAACGGAGGATAAGCGGTGGGCATGGAGAGCTGAGGTACAGAGGCCCAAGAAATCGTCAGGCGTGAGGAAGCCTACATAGAGAGAGCTCTGCAAAGACTCCTGGAAAGACAGAGGTGGAGAGAAAGGAAAAGAGCACCTGGCACAAAAGATGCAGAAAGCATTGGGGACAGAGGAAGCTGTGAGAGACAGGAAGGAGAGAAAGGGAAGAGAGGCTGAGAGTGAGAAACATAAGAACACAAACATGGTAAGACACAGCGGGAGTCAGGGCAAAGCATGAACCGTTAGGTACAGATGGATGTAAAAGAGGAAATTTTCCTAAGAAGACAAGGAACTGGGGACCAGAGGAGTGGATGAATTAGAAACATTCTGGGTGGTCCACTCATATCAGAAATTACATATTCTTGTGTTAATTACTACCTACTCTGAAGTTCTGAAGAAGATTTTTTTAAAACCAAAATTGAGTGGGTTTTTATGAGCCACCACTACCCTGCACCAAAGAGACAGTTTGTACCAGCTCTCAAAGAGGAGCTGTGGGTGTTTTTCTGTCTCTGAGGGTCCCTGTTGTTTCTACAAGAGGAGACAAAAGAATTCCATGCCAGCCCTGCATGTTTCATCTCACCAAACTCGCAGCTGGAATCATCCCAAAAGCAGCAGCAGGGAAATTCCCACAGGGAGTGGCCCAAACCCTCCAGAGATGGGGCCAATTGGGATTCCAAAGAAAGAAGCCCAGATGTCAGGGTGATCGATTCAAAGCATTTATTAGGGGAACTTACAGAGGACTGCAGCAATCCTCCCTGCCGACAGGGAGGGAAAAGGGATGTTCTGCCTAAGCATGTCTGTAGCAAGGGGGTCAGGGTATGGAGTTTATATGAGGGTTTAGGGAATTTGACTCAGGGCTGGAGCCAGTTTCTTTCAACGTTTTGGGCAACAACCTAGATACCTTTATTAGTGCCTGGGAGTGTTCAAGGCCCTGGTTTGAGTTCAAGCCTGCTGGGGAAAACCTGCAGCTGGCTGGGTCACAGAACGGTCAAGGCAATCTGTGATTTTTGGTCAGTCTGATCAGAAAGAAAAGGAGGTGATCTGGGGGACCCCACATTGTGGCTTCCTCTCGCTGACATTTGATCTAAAACCCAAGCCTCCTGCTTCTGGCCTGCTGCTTGAGGGGGAAGGACTGGTCCTTTTTGGCCATCCTGACCTACGGATTAAGTGCATGTCGAAATTTTAACAAGTGGCGGCTTGCAGGATTAGCCAACTTGGGCAGGTCATTAAAGCCTTGTTAATTCTTGCGGTCATTGATGCCATTGTGCACTGACCCCTGCTCCAAGATGCAAATCCACAGCTTTGGATCAGTTTGTAAGTGTGAGTAAAGCCGAAAGTAATGCATGATACAGATGAGGTGTTCACATTTAATTCTGCTAAAATGACACCATGAAACTAGAGCATTCTGAAGGATGCTGACAAGAGGAAAATGGAATGAAAGCGTCCATATGTACCTGACTCATGCATGAGTCATGTTCAGTATTCACCAGTAGAGGGAGGACCTTCTGGACTTCGCTGTTACCATAAACAATTGGATTTCTGATCATGTGGATCACCATGAAAAGTTGGACACTCTTGCGCTAGAACAAAAGATGCTTTCCTTCCTCCAAACCAGGCATTGGCCCAGAGAGGTCACTAGCATTAGCACCTTCTTAATTTCGTGTAGAGACTAAAAACAAGAGATGGCTCAAAAGGCTCAGGGTGTGGGAAGTAAGAGGAAAGTCTATGCTCCCAAACTTGCTAAATTTTTGACTTTTAAACCTTTAATTCGAAAAGTTTTAAAAATAAGAACTATATTACCATTCCTCCCAAGTTCCATTTGTCAAAATGCTTTTTTCTTTAAACTTTAATGGTTTAAGTTTTTTTTAAGTTGTTTTAAAAAAAACAAAAAAGGTTTAAGTTTTTTTTGGCAGGGTGCGGTGGCTCACGCCTGTAATCTCAGCACTTTGGGAGGCCGAGGTGGGTGGATCACGAGGTCAGGACTTTAAGGCCAGCCTGGCCAATATGGTGAAACCCCATCTCTACTAAAACTACAAAAAAGTTAGCCAGCCATAGTGGTGGGCACCTGTAATCCCAGCTACTTGAGAGACTGAGGCAGAGAATTGCTTGAACCCAGGAGGCAGAGGTTGCAGTGAGCTGAGATCGTGCCATTGCACTCCAGCGTGGGCAACAGAGCGAGACTCCATCTAAAAAAAAAAAAACAAAAGGCTTTTTTTTCCCCCTAAATGTCGTCCACATTTTTGGCAAGTATTGATCTCTAGTAGTCAGTGTCAGGATCTGAAGAAAACAGTGACATCTAGCAGACTCCCAGAGCCAGGGAAACAGGCTGGGCAGAAGTGATAAATTACAAACCACCAGGGTTAAGAGAAGAACAGAGTGTTAAAACCAAACCATTTTCTTCCTCCCTAGAAAGAGTGTTTCCTGCCTCCATTAAATCCATCCACCAGGGTTATTTATCATCCCCATGTCATGGACTACAGTACACCATAAAGAGGACCCCAGCAGTGACTACAGTTGGTTCTAGAAAAAGGAGACCCCTCATCCGCCTCTGCAAGACTATGAAGCATGATGTGTATCCTCAGGCCTCCACTCCTCCGCCCTAGTCTGGAGCCCTGGGACCACCACATGAGGAAGGCAGCTGGCCCCTGGAATAAGCATGTGGAGGACACTCAGAAGGATGCCCATCTGCTCTGAGTGTCTCCTAATTCTGCCTGACCTTGGTTACTTCCTCTGGGCAATCGCCTTTACCTATCTACCAGGTTTTGAGGAATTACACACAGCTCAGGTATAAGAGATATTCGGTAAGTCTGATCAAATCAATAAAGCAAATTTTATCTGTTTTTGTCTGGGACATATCTCTACATTCATTCATTTAACCAAAAAAAAAAAAATTTTTTTTTTGAGACGAAGTTTTGCTCTTTTGCCCAGGCTGGAGTGAAGTGGCGCGATCTCAGCTCACTGCAACCTCTGCCCCCCAGGTGCAAGTGATTCTCCTGCCTCAGCCTCCCTAGTAGCTGGGATTACAGGTGCATGCCACCACGCCTGGCTAATTTTTGTATTTATAGTAGAGACAAGGGTTTCACCATGTTGGCCAGGCTGGTCCCGAACTCTTGACCTCAGGTGATCCACCCGCCTTGGCCTCCCAAAGTGCTAGGATTACAGGCATGAGCCACCGCACCTGGCCTTAACAAAATATTTATTCAGTGCCTAGCATGAGCTCAACACTCTACGTCTCCCAGTCTGTCTATCTCAGTCTACCTGTAAGCTGAAGGATACAACTTATCTCTTAAGAGGACTATGCCCGCGTTCTCCTACCACCCAGGCCAAAGGGTCACATTTACAGGATGTAGTCAACTGGTCATTCAGCAAGTATGTATGAGCACCTGTGTGGGACTGGCCACCGTAGCAAATAAATGAGTCTCATCTTAGTCAATCGCGGTGTGAAATGAGGACACGAAGTCCAGACCTAACCTCTAAGAGAAAAGCCCTGCCTGATAGAAGAAGAGATTTGTCCTTACTTAATGCAAATGCACCATATTCATGCACCTATGAATGATGGCTAAGACCACAGACAAGGCCGGGGCATTGGATATAACAGCTCTGTGAGGAGCTCAGGACAAAAACCAAAGAATCAAAGATATGTGAAGACAGTTGATTATTGTTTGCTCACTACTGATGCCACTATGAGCAGCATCACCACCAGTGTTAAATAATGGAATTGTAGTATTATGATACAGAGTCGGAAACACGGAATAATAAATTAAAATACTAAAGTGAAAAAATTGGATTGATTAAATAAATATTAAACCAATATTTCTCAGACTTATGTGATAAACACCTTTAAAGGAAAAGATACATATATATTTTTGAGACAGAGTCTCATTCTGTTGCCCAGGTTGGAGTCCAGTGGTGCGATCTTGGCTCACTGCAACCTCCACTTCCTGGGTTCAAGCGATTCTCCTTCCTCAGCCTCCGAGTAGCTGGGATTACAGGCGTGCACCACCATGCCTGGCTAATTTTTGTATTTTTAGTAGAGATGGAGTTTCACCATGTTGCCCAGGCTGGTCTTGAACTCCTGACCTCAGGTGATCCACCCGCCTTGGCCTCCCAAAGTGCTGGGATTACAGTGTGGGCCACCGTGCCCGGCTGGAAAAGAGATTTTTTGAGAACTCGCCATGTTGGCTTAAACGTAAATATATATGAAACAGAAAATGAAGTATAAACTCCTTATGCTTATAGCTCTACTGTTCCAATAACGTTAGAAGTAACAGCAGTAGTTTAATGTAATGCATGATATTTCTTTACTGAAGAATTCTTCGCTCCAACATTAATATTGTAGTGATTGCTACACCTAGTTTCTCAAATCTCATTTGCCACTTGATGTTTTCCTTCTTTAATGGATCGTCTCTGTACAAGCTCTCTCAAGACCTTCAGTCTCTCAGTCAGCTGCGGGATTATTGGGCCCTTAATGCAAATGCACCGTTTAAATTTTAAGACAGTTCTCGTTCTACTCTTGTTAGGCTGTGCAATTGTAAAGACTAATCGTTTCTATTAGCTTTATGTTAGTTTTATATTGGTCATCAATAGAATCCAGGAAATGCTTATATTATGGGGATTTTCAAGATTATTACCTGAAGGAAAACGTGACAGAAACAGCTCTAGTCTCCCCTTCCCTTATACTTGGAGAACCTGAGTTTTGGGGGTGATGGTAATGTGCCCAGCTGAAGAAAACCATTTCCCAAATCCCCAATTTCCCGGTCCCCCTTGCAGCCAGTGCAGTGAGGAGATACAGCTCTGGCCAATGTGATATAGGCATAAGTTCCTGGGGATGGTGTCCCTTCCAGATGAAAAGGCCAAAGCTCATGAGGAGAAAGCCCTTTGCCCCTTCCCCTTCGTTCCTCTTCCTACCTGGAATGCAGATATGAGACCTGGGGCTCAGCAATGCTGAGGTCAGGGGGAGACCCACAGCAGGGTGAAGGCTTCAAGCTGAGAGTGGAGCAGAGGGAAGAAATCACTTGGGTGCCCGATGGCAATACTGAGCCCTGGGCTGCTCCTCTCGGACATTTCGTATATGAGATGAGCAGTGTGCCGGAGCTCAGTGAGGTGAGCTTCTTGTGATTCCAGCTAAATGGGATCCTAACTGATATGACACATAAACATCATCTAGAACATGCAGACTTCTGCGAATATCTCCATGACACATTTGGGAAGACACAGTGCTCAGGATTTTAAGAATGTGGGAGCTACACATAGTGGGGAATGGGAGAATAATAAAATGATCTCCCTCTTCTGCCCCCATGGAGGCAGCAAGTGGCCAAGGGAGAATTTTGTGATTAGAGATACTGGCATGAATATCAGTTTATTGCAGGAAAAAAGAGTGACAGAAGAGTCTCTTGGTTAATATACAGGCAGGAAAAGTCCAATGTGTTTCTATAAAATCTTCCTCCTGAAGTTCAGGCTGGGGTTTGGGGCTGGGCATTTGTCAAAGGGTATTGGCAAGCACAAGGAATTCCAGAATCTGCCTTGGTCTTCAAGGGGGCAGAACTTTTGGTCTCGGTACAAGCTAGGTTTGTGCAATAAACAAAGGAATTGCTAGAGCTACAAATTCTAGCTGAGAAGTCTGTGTGCTTGAGTTTCTGCACCTCAAGGACAACTTAGAGCAATTGAAGAGACCATGAAATCTCTGTAAATGGCATAGAAACTTTAGCATGCAAAAGCATGCATGCAAAAACGCTAGCATATCAAAAGCTTTTCTTTTCTTTCAATCAAGTTAATTTCTGGCCAGGCAGGATGACACACCTGTAATCGCAGCACTTTGGCAGACCGAGGTAGGAAGATCACTTGAGCTCAGAAGATCTGCACCAGCCTGGGCAACATGGTGAGACCTTGTCTCTACTAAAAATAAAAAAAAATTAGCCGAGTGTGGTGGCACATGCCTGTAGGCTCAGATACTTGGGAGGCTAAGGCAAGAGGCTCGCTTGAGCCCAGGAGGTGGAGGCTGCAGTGAGCCATGACTGTGCCACTGTACTCCAGCCCGGGCGACAGAGCAAGATCCTGTCTCAAAAAAAAGAAAAAAAGAAAGAAAGAAAGAAAAAGGCTGGGCACAGTGGCTCACGCTTGTAATCCCAACACTTTGGGAGGCTGAGGCAGGAGGATTGCTTGAGGCCTGGAGTTCAAGACCAGCCTGGGCAACATAGTGAGACCTCGTCTCTACAAAAAAAATTAAAAATTAGCTGGGTATGGTAGTGTATGCCTGTAGTCCCAGCTACTTGGGAGGCTGAGGTGAGAGGATTGCTTGAGCCCAGGAGGTCGAGGCAGCAGTGAGCTGTGATCATGTCACTGCCCTCCATCTTGGGCAACAGAGAGAGACCTTGTCTCGAAGAGAAAAATAAAAGAAAGAAAATGTTAATTTCTGCTCCTGTCAGATTAGAGGGAAATTCAATCTCAGTCTTTTTGCTGCTCTCCAAAGATCCCAGAGTTGTACATAGGATTGAAGCATAAGGAACATCCTTAAAGTCAGTAGCAACTGGCCTGTACTAATTATTCCCAGGATACGCATATCCCTTTGTGGCAGCAGTTCTGCCAGAGGCACAGGGGCTTTGCCCAGTCAGTCTCCTTCAACTTGCCACGTAGCTTTCTCCAGAATAAGTCCACCCCCTCAGGGTGCTACCGTGAAGGAGAGTATGGTTTTGGCATTTGAGAGCCCAGAGAGATATACATGAAGATCTGGTCTCTGGAGAGTATTGAAGGTAGAAAAGACAAGGAGAAGATGCTGCAGAACACCCAGAAGGGAAGAAAAAAAAAATGAAGCCTCAATGAATAAGGGAAATACCTTTCTAACCACTCCTGGGACCTGAACTACAAGATTTGGTAGTTGACTCTCAAACCATAATATACTCATACTCAGATGACACTTGTAAGTTGTCGCACATATCTGTGCATTCCATGCCTTTGGTAAATGCATACAGTTAATCATACAGCTAATCCTCCTTTTCTCTTTATGAAGTCCAGTGTTTAAAGGACCTCTTCAGGTGTCATCAAGGAGTCATACCAGGTCCAGCTGAACCCAACTTGCACAAGTCCAGATTGAGGACACCAGGCAAGTAAGCACACCCCTCTAGATTATGCCTGAACAGGATTTATGCCTTTTGGGGAGTGTCACCTCTCATTAAAACGTCTGCGAATGCACACTCTGGTCCAGTCCCCTGTCTTTCTAAACAAGAATGTTTGGTGAAGCAACAGTGATTCAACACTCTCCCTTAACGAGGTATTGTTTGACACCTTAGAAAACACGTAGTTATTTTTCAGATCTATTCAGGACCTTTCTTGTGATTCATCTAAAACAAACCCCTCTCTTCAGTCTCTACAGATTACCATATTTATTTTCTTTATGGAGCTGACGACAATCTGAACTTATGCTTATTTACGTGTTAACTTATTTGTTTTATGTCTGTCTCCTTCCACTAGAATGTCAGTTCCTTGAGAATAGGGGTTTTGAGGACAATATATGAGATAGATTAGATATTTAATAATCATATGCTTCATTGAGCCTCTGATGCACATCTTCCCCATTGGATCATAATCTAAAATGGAGATGTCGGATGGGCATAGTGGCTCACACCTGTAACCCCAGCACTTTGGGAGGCTGAGGCAGGTGGATCACTTGACGTCAGGAGTTGGAGACCAGCCTGACCAACATAGTGAAACCCCGTCTCTACTAAAAATACAAAAATTAGCTGGGCGCTGGTGGCACACACCTGTAGTCCCAGCTACTCAGGAGGCTGAGGCAGGAGAATCACTTGAACCTGGGAGGTGGAGGTTGCAGTGAGCCGAGATTGCACCACTGCACTCCAGCCTGGGTGACAGAGTGAGATGCTGTCTTAAAAAAATAATAATAAAAATAAAATGGAGATGTCCACTGGCTGCAGTGGTTCAGGCCTGTAATCCCAGGACTTTTGGAGGACAAGGTGGGAGGATTGCCCAGAGCTAGGAGTTAGAGACCTGCCTGGGCAACATCGCAAGACACTGCCTAAAAAAAAAAACCAAGAAACGTTTAAAAATGGAAAAGTGTCTTACACTTGATAGCACATCATGAACCAGTCAGTAGCACTCTTTCTTCCTTAGTGGGGCATAAGTAATGCTGCATCTTGCATTCAATGTCATCTTAGATGGGATGAAATACACATTTTGGAATAAACGAATAAATGTATGCTTTCTTTTGGTGCTATTTCTTCTGTTTTGGTCTTATTTGTAAACACAAGGAAATTAGGATTCCTTTTTTTTTTTTTTGAGACAGAGTCTCACTCTGTCACCCAGGCTGGATTGCAATGGTGTGGTCTCAGCTCACTGCAACCTCCGCCTCCCAGGCTCAAGCAATTCGCCTGCCTCAGCCTCCTGAGTAGCTGGGACTACAGGCGCGTGCCACCACACCCGGCTAATTTTTGTATTTTTAGTAGAGACAGGGTTTCACTATGATGGCCAGGCTGATCTCGAACTCCTGACCTTGTGATCCACCCACCTTGGCCTCCCAGAGTGCTGGGATTACAGGTATGAGCCACTGCACCTGGCCTAGGATTCCTTTAGTAACTGTCTAGTATGGTGCTGGGAATTCTTTTGGGAACAGAGGCAGCCAACCAACAGAAGTGAATGACATAGTTCTTACCCTCAAGGACAAGAAAACCAGCAATTACAGTGCAACATGCTAAGTGCTACAATAAAGGAATGCTTTTGGGCAGAGTCCAGAGAAGGGATCTCATTCAGCCTGTGCAGATCCTGGAAAGCTTCCCAAGGGATAGGGTAACTGACCGGAGACTTGTGACATATTTGTGGGGCACTTTGAGCTGCTGTCACATATGTGGATTCTTTTGATCTTCACATCACCTCTGTGAGGTAGGAGAACCATCCTGTCTTAGAAATGCAAAGACTGAAGTTCAGAGAAGTTAAATAAATTGTCCCCAAACCTCCTTAACGGTAAGTGGCAGGGAGGGGTGGGGGGTGAGGGAGTTAAACTCAGGTTTCCTGGCTCCAGGATTACTCACTTTTTATCTCATTTGGACTGAATCTCAAGTGATGAACTGTTCTGCACTGTCTCTACAAAAATCACTCACAGGTATGAACACTTTTATCCTTCAGTCTTCTCTTCTTTAGGCTTGCAATGGCAGGCTCTCGGATCTTTCCTCCAATCTGTATTGGGTTTTGAGCCAAGCAAGAAAAACCAGACACAGTCCCTATTCTTGAGGAGCCCCCAGTCTGAAAACAAGTCGTGGATACACAGAAAAAACATTCTTGTGTGTGTGATGGATGGTAGGGAACGTGTCATCAATTGTGACATTTATGGCATTTATTTGCCTTTACTAGTGAGTTCTGCTTTTTAAGATGTTTGCGACTTCTCAGGCCTCACCCTCAAAAGAATTTGAAAATTGAACACAAGCAGAGATGTTTTGTTTTCAACTCAGGACCTCACCCAGAGTTTTTTAGGCAGCAGCCCTGAACCAAGTTGGCCTCGAGGTATTCGTGAGTTTCCATACCCAGAAGACTTTTTCAGCTTCTACCTTCTACCCATGAAAGGAGGTGGCATGGATGTTTCCTTTTTCTTTTTCTTTTTTTTTTTTTTTAGTATTTATTGATCATTCTTGGGTGTTTCTCACAGAGGGGGATTTGGCAGGGTCATAGGACAATAGTGGAGGGAAGGTCAGCAGATAAACAAGTGAACAAGGGTCTCTGGTTTTCCTAGGCAGAGGACCCTGCGGCCTTCCGCAGTGTTTGTGTCCCTGGGTACTTGAGATTAGGGAGCGGTGATGACTCTTAATGAAGATGCTGCCTTCAAGCATCTGTTTAACAAAGCACATGGTGCACCGCCCTTAATCCATTTAACCCTGAGTGGACACAGCACATGTTTCAGAGAGCAGGGGGTTGGGGGTAAGGTTATAGATTAACAGCATCCCAAGGCAGAAGAATTTTTCTTAGTACAGAACAAAATGGAGTCTCCTACGTCTACTTCCCTCTACACAGACACAGCAACAATCTGATTTCTCTATCTTTTCCCCACATTTCCCCCTTTCTATTCGACAAAACCGCCATCGTCATCATGGCCGGTTCTCAATGAGCTGTTGGGTACACCTCCCAGACGGGGTGGCTGCCGGGCAGAGGGGCTCCTCACTTCCCAGTCGGGGCTGCCGGGCGGAGGTGCCCCTCACCTCCCGGACGGGGTGGCTGGCCGGGCGGGGGCTGCCCCCCCACCTCCCTCCCTGACGGGGCGGCTGCCGGGCGGAGATGCTCCTCACTTCCCAGACGGGGCGGCTGCCGGGCGGAGGGGCTCTTCACTTCTCAGACGGGGCAGCCAGGCAGAGACGCTCCTCACCTCCCAGACGGGGTCGCGGCTGGGCAGAGGCGCTCCTCACATCCCAGACGGGGCGGCAGGGCAGAGGCGCTCCCCACATCTCAGACGATGGGCGGCCCGGCAGAGATGCTCCTCACTTCCTAGACGGGATGGCGGCCGGGAAGAGGCGCTCCTCACTTCCCAGACTGGGCGGTGGGGCAGAGGCGCTCCCCACATCTCAGACGATGGGCGGCCAGGCAGAGACGCTCCTCACTTCCCAGACGGGGTGGCGGCCGGGCAGAGGCTGCAATCTCGGCACTTTGGGAGGCCAAGGCAGGCGGCTGGAAGGTGGAGGTTGTAGCCAGCCGAGATCACGCCACTGCACTCCAGCCTGGGCAACATTGAGCACTGAGTGATTGAGACTCTGTCTGCAATCCCAGCACCTCGGGAGGCCGAGGCTGGCAGATCACTCGCGGTTAGGAGCTGGAGACCAGCCTGGCCAACACAGCGAAACCCCGTCTCCACCAAAAAAATACGAAAACCAATCAGGCGTGGTGGCGCGCGCCTGCAATCCCAGGCACTGGGCAGGCTGAGACAGGAGAATCAGGCAGGGAGGTTGCAGTGAGCTGAGATGGTGGCAGTACAGTCCAGCTTCGGCTCGGCATCAGAGGGAGACCGTGGAGAGAGAGGGAGAGGGAGAGGGAGAGGGAGACAGTGGGGAAAGGGAGAGGGAGACCGTGGGGAGAGGGAGGGGGAGAGGGAGACCGTGGGGAGAGGGAGAGGGAGAGGGAGGGGGAGAGGGAGGGGGAGAGGGAGACCGTGGGGAGAGGGAGAGGGAGAGGGAGGAGAGGGAGAGGGAGGAGAGGGAGAGGGAGGAGAGGGAGAGGGAGGAGAGGGAGAGGGAGAGGGGGAGGGGGAGGAGAGGGAGGAGGAGGGGGAGGGAGAGGGAGAGGGAGGAGACTGGATGTTTCCTTTGATCATCTATCACATCTTTGCAGAGGACATATAAGCCTGTGCATGGCTATGAGAACACAGTGGAGAGCCATGTAAATAGCTTTTGCCTTCAAGGTGCCTGGCAGAAGCGAATGAATATTGCTGTCATGTACATGCAAATGTTGTGAAATGCTTCAATGTTCCACATCTTCTTTGGAGACCTTTAAGAAATTCATGGAACTTTCAGCAGTGATATTTACCACCAACAATGTAATCAAATGGGGCAGCAAGCAAAATGAGCTACTACTAATGCACCATGGAGCAGAGGAATTTTCTCTTGCGCTAACACCACAACAGACCCATTCTTTCATTTGGATTAGTATTCACTACTTGTGCTTAGTTGCTTGCAGTGGATACCCAATTTGTGAAGTGAGCTGAGGTATAATGCAGTATTGTATACTGGAACACAGGGGCTGCAAAAGCAGAACTCACTAACAAAGTCAAATGCCATGAACGTCACAATTGATGAAAACTGGCCATTTGAAAAATCTAGATATGATAAAATTGTTAAATTGATGAGGATGAAGATTGGATTATAGTATATATTCAGCATGCAAAAACAGATAATCAGGGGAAATGCAGTGACAGTCAAAGCAACTATGGAAACAATATCCATGGCAACAAATGGCCTGGTCGGAAGAGAGGCCCAAGGACTGCCTGTGTCTTCCTGATGAAATGTCTGGTAAGCCCCCTAGTGGCAATGACCGGGTAGTGGCCCTCTGCGAGATGGGCGCCTCTCTGGAGATTGAGCGCCACTTCTGAGGGCCTGGAGAAGTTGACTTGTTTTGCATCCCACGGGGTCACCCCCACCTCCCCCTTTCCTTGCACTCACTGACATGAGACACAACGTATGTCCACAAACAACTGCTGCTCCTCATTGCATCTAAAGCTCCGTTGCCGGAAAACATACCATTATTTCATGCAGCACTAAGAGGAAAACACAGCGGGTTAAACTATGACACGCCATTGATTGTAAGACGCATCCCTATTCAAGAGATGATAAATGGGAAAATAAATATATGTCTTACAACCTATAAAATATAAATGACTTTCGGCATTTATATTATATTACAGGGTGAGGTGGCTCACACCTGTAATCCCAGCACTTTGGGAGGCCGAGGCGAGTGGTTTGCTTGAGCTCAGGAGTTGGAGACCAGCTCGGATAACATAGCAAGACTCTGTATTTAAAAAAAAATATATATATATGTATATATATACACACACACATATATATAAATGACTTTCAGTGATTCATTTAACATTTTCAGATACTTGTTCCCTCACTTACAAACTAAACAACTAAACCATTAATTAATTAATTCACTCATTCTACTCACATTTATTAAGTGTGGATTATTGGACAAGCACACTGACGTCAACACTGAGGATACAGCAGTGAGCTGGTGTCCTGTCTTTAGGGGGCTTTTGTTACAGTGACTTGGTTTCTGATTATCTTTGTCACACTGAATCTGTGAGTCAGTGAGTCCGTGACCCTAAGTGAGTTTCAGAGTGAAAACAGACACCAGATAAGAAGCCAGAAAACCTGGGTTCTAGTCTAGTTCTTCCCCTTAATAGTTTATTTAATCTGTCTCAACCTTATTTTATCTACTTATAGTCTATCACGGTTAAATTGAGAAATAGTTATATTTTTCTCATAGCAGAGTCCTTCAAACAATACGCAATGACAATCAAAATAGCAAAGTAGCTGTGGAAACAGTGTCCATGGCGACCAATGGTCCCATCTTTTCTTTCTTTCTTTTTTTCTTTCTTTCTTTCTTTCTTTCTTTCTTTCTTTCTTTCTTTCTTTCTTTCTTTCCTTCTTTCTTCTTCTTTTTCTTTCTTTTTCAAGGTCTCTGAGTTTCAAGTCAAGCCTAAAAAAATTTTTTTTTAAGTTTTTTTAATTTGCTGGAATGCAGTGGCATGATCATGGCTCATAGAAGCCTTAATCTCACTGGCTCAAGTAATCTTCCCACCTCAGCTTCCCAAATAGCTGGGATCATAGGCATGCACCACCATGCCCTGCTACGTTTTATTTTTATTTTTTCAATAAAGATTAGGTCTCACCATGTTGCCCAGGCTGGCCTTGAACTCCTGGACTCAAGGTATCTTCCAGCCTCAGCCTCCCAAAGTGCTGGGATTACAGGCATGAGCCACAGCACATGGACCTCATCTTTCTTTCATGTCACTAGATCAAGAAAGCTCCAGAGTTTTTCTTGTTCCCTTCAGGTGTCAAGCAATATCATTTTATGTATATAAACATCTAATTCAGAATAGTTTCACTCTTTTTTCCTATTGTCCTGCATAAAGCTTCCCCCTCCCCAGTGGACAGACTGCAATGGGCTGGCATCTGACATTTGTCTGCAGACCTCATGGTAGGAGACAGGCTGGTTTTCTGCCCTGGGAGTGGGAGTGTAGGAAAGGAGGAGGCACTGGGGACCTGTATCCCAGGTTTTCAGGGCAAGGCTGTGTAAGTATTTCCAGCAGACTAGTGTGAGGCATGCTAGGAAGTGAGCTGATGTGGAGCTGAGCTAATCCTGTCTGATGTGGCCACCTACAGGCATCAACAGGCCTCAGCAGAGAGAAGCTGAAGTGATTACTGCATTCCTATGAGCTGTGGGAGGAATAAATCGTGGAAAGAAATCCTCATTTGCAACTGTATGGCATTAGGGGTGAGGGGTCTCGGAAGAAGCACCCAAGGAGGAGGAATCCCCTGTAAGCACCTACCAGTCCCAGAGAATGCAAAGCCCTCTTGCAAACCGTGCCTGCTCCACGCCCCAGACCACTCCTTCCCCCAACCCTTCCCCATTCTACTCAACCTTGGAGGGTTAGAAACCACCATTAGCAAGACAGGAGAAGAAGGATAGATGCATAATGTTGAAGACCTGTTTCCCTATTTCTCATCTTCCCATCCTTGCAAAGCCCTTGCTGGAGGAAAGGAGACTTACCTTTGGAACTAAACGTTGAGTTTCTGAATTGGCATTGTGTTTGGTAATATAAAATAACTACAGGACCTAAGAGAGATCAGAACAGTCTTAGTACTGTCCATATTTTCATCTTGGAATGGGGAAAACTGGCTCCACTGAGCAAGTTAAGGACGTCATAGACTGATCTGTAGATGTTCAATGAAATCTGTAATTCAAGACTAAATAACGTATTCTTGGCTGGGCGCAGTGGCTCACGCCTGTAATCCCAGCACTTTGGGAGGCCGAGGAGGCGGGCGGAGGGCAGATCACCCGAGGGCAGGAGTTTGAGATCAGCCTGGCCAAAGTGGTGAAACCCCATCTCTATTAAAAATACAAAAATTAGCCAGGCGTGGTGGTGTGCACCTGTAATCTCAGCCACTTGGGAGGCTGAGGCAGGAGAATCACTTGAACCCACGAGACAGAGGTTACAGTGAGCCAAGATCATGCCACTGCACTCCAGCCTGGGCTACAAGAGCAAGACTCCGTCTCAAGGAAAAAAAACTAATTAATAATAATAACTTATTCTTGAGACACATGCGATGCAAGACAAGTATTTATTGCTAGGATCTCCTCAGGTAAGCTGTGCAGTAAGTCTGTGCTGTCCTACATGGTAGCCATTAGCCACATGTAGCAACTGAGCACATGAAGTGTGGCTAGTCCAAATACAAATGTGCTCTTAAGTGCAAGACACACATGAGATTTCAAAGACTTAGTACAAAAACAGTAAAATATCTCACTAATAATTTTTATGTTTATTACTTGTCAAAATCACAATATTTTGGATATGCTGTGTTAAATAAAATTTACTATTAGAATTAATTTCACCTGTTGTTTTTTACCTTTTTGATGTGACTACTAGAACTTTGTAAATTACACGGAGCTCGCTTTCTGTGGACATGTAGTCTCTCTCACAGAGAAATACATGTATATTTCTGCTGGACATGTAGTCTCTCTCACAGGTCATAAGGCACTGAGGTCACAGGCCATAGGTTGGGATGTTTCTCCTCCAGAGAGTAGCTCATTCTCACTTTAAATCATCCTAAAGAACACAGGTACTGGTAGGTAGGTGGGCCGCAAGCTGGATTGAGTGGGGAAACTTCCTGCTGTCTTTGAACCAGAACAAGAACAGAGTTGGGAGCCTGTATTTTGCATAGTGAAGGCACACTCAAGGGAGCCACCTATCTTGGGGAGTTATGCTGGCCCCCAAAACTCAGAGCGTGCTAAAGGTGAGGCAGAGAAGCCTCCTGTAGGAAGTGCATACAGGGAGGGGCGTGGGCCTCTGAAATCTGAAAGCACCATGTCTCATTTCCAGTTTTAAGTGTACCTGGAATTCTCTTCTGTTATCCCTAGGTCTTTAGTGGAGCCTGATTAAACATGAGGCTGAGGGCAGCTGTGGGAGCTGAGGGTGGATTCTGTGCCCACTCGTGGCCCCCCCACTGGACATGGCTTCCTCCCCAGCAGGCCTCGACAGCAGTCTCTGGAGCCTCTGGCCCAGCTTGCTGCGGGTCGCTGCTGTTCTCTTTGTGTCTCTTAGCCTGTGACTTCAATGCAGTCATCTCATTTCTGGGAATCTATCCAATTCTCAATTGTGTAAAAAGCTTTATAAACAAAAAAAGTGCATTACAGTTTACTATCTTAACAAAATATTGGAAGCAGCAGAAACATTTAGCAGGAAAAACTATAAATTATAGACTATGTACTTTGTGCATCATTGGGGAGCCACTTAAGTGACTTTTATTAAAACTTATATTAACAAAGAAGACAATAGTGTCATAATAATTTATTTAAAAAGAATTAAAGGCCAGGCACAGTGGCTCATGCTGTAATCCCAGCACTTTGGGAGGCCGAGGCTGGCGGATCACTTGAGGTCATGGCGAAACCCCATCTCTACTAAAAATACAAAAATTAGCCAGGCGTGGTTGGTGGGTGCCTGTAATTCCAGCTACTTGGGAGGCTGAGGCACGAGAATCTCTTGAACCCGGCAGGCAGAGGTTGCAGTGAACAGAGATCACGCCACTTTACTCCATCCTGGGTGACAGAACTAGACTGTCTCAAAAATAAATAAATAAATAAATATAAGGAATTAAGGAACACACAATTATATATGTAATTGGTGACAATAAAATACAACCCCTCAAAAAGAACAAAAACAAAAACCTAAACAACAACAACCACCTAGGTATAAAGAAAAGACTAGAAAAAAATGTTTTAAAATGAAACCATAACTGTATTAGGGTTCTCCAGAGAAACAGAACTAAAACCTCTCTCTCTCTGTCTCTCTCTCTCTCTCATATAGATGAGAAGACACACTCAAAGGAGCTCATATAGGTGAGAGAGAGATTTTAAGGAATTGGCTCACACGATTGTGGAGATTGGCAAGTCCAAAATTTGCAGGGAAAACTGGCAGGCTTGGAGACAAAAGTTAATGTCACAGTTCAGGCCTAAAGGCAACCTGGAGGCAGAATTCCCTCTTCCTTGGGGGATGTCAGACCCACTCACATACGGGAGGGTAATTTGCTTTATTCAAAGTCCATCCATTTAAATGTTGATTTCATCTACAAAATACCTTAGTAGAAACATCTAGAATAATGTTTGACCAAATATTTGGGTACCATGGCTTAAGCATACTGACACATGAAATTAACCTTTGGCTGGGCACAGCAGCTCATCCCTGTAATCTCAGCACTTTGGGAGGTTTAGATGGGTGGATTGCTTGAGCCCAGGAGTTCAAGACCAGCCTGGGGAATATAGTGAGACTCTGTCCCTACAAAAAACAACGAGAAAAAATTAGCTAGGCATGGTGGCGAGTGCCTGTGGTCCCAGCTGCTCGGGAGGCTGAGGTGGGAGGATCTCTTGAGCCTGAGAAGTTGAGGCTGCAGTGAGCCGTGATTGTGCCACTGCACTCCAGCCCGAGTGACAGAGTAAGACCATGCCTCAAAAAATTAATTAATTCATTAAATTTAATAAATATTTTTAAAAATTAACTTTCACAATGATCTAAGGCTTACTACTTTAGGATTTGTTTTTGAAATACTTTTCTGTGTTTTCCAAAATACATAAAATAATAAAGATGTACTTATGATGGAAAAGGCCTGTGTAAACACATTTTAAAACACAGCCTCCTTGGGGTAGCCCCAGAGTCCCAGGGCTCTCCATGGCCCCTTGGACACCTTTCACAGCATTCCTCACCTCTGTCTTCTACCATTATTATGCATGTCTGAATATGTCTTCCTTTGCTAAACATCAAACAGAGTTTTAAGACTGGGATTCTAGAAAGTGAGAGAAGGCAGGCGCAGAGGAGGCAGTGGGAGCCTGCCTGAGGGCATTAACGTCAGTCCTGGGCTATGTGCTGGCTCCTCAGGACCGCCCTTCTGAGGGGCACAGACACGTGAGTGGAGGGAGCTCATGTTCCAGTTTCTTTGCAAAAATCAACTTGATAAAGTTTTTCCTGTTTTGTTAAAATTGCCTAAAATTTTTTAGCAATACTTCATTTGATTTTCTCTAATGGTTTCTGTCATTTCTTTGAGTTTTAATTTATTGCTCATGCTTTAACATCCCAGGTTATGTCTTGCTTAATTTAATGTCCATATAGTTGACCCTTGAGCAACATGGATTTGAACTGCATAGGTCCACTTAGGTCCACTTATGCATGGGTTATTTTCAATCAAATGCAGATCACAAACACAGTAATGGTGACATGTGAAACCCATGTATACAAAGGGCCAACTTTACATATATTTGGGACCCAAAGGGCTGACTGTGGAACTTGAATATGTGTAGGTTTTGGTATACACAGGAGTCTTGGAACCAATCCCCCTCATATACCAAGGGACTACTGTATATCTGCTTTGTTTATTTCTTTTTTTTTTTTTTTGAGATGGAGTCTCACTCTGTTGCCCAGGCTGGAGTGCAGTGGCGCCATCTCGGCTCACTGCAACCTCCGGCTCCCGGGTTCAAGTGATTCTCCTGCCTCAGACTCTCAAGCATCTGGGACTCCAGTCACCCGCCACGCCCAGCTAATTTTTTGTATTTTTAGTAGAGACGGGGATTCACCATGTCGGCCAGGTTGATCTCCAACTCCTGACCTCAAGTGATCCGCCAGCCTCAGCCTCCCAAAGTGCTGGGATTACAGTCGTGAGCCACGGTGGCCAGTCTCATTACCATTTGTTAAGAACTCATTTGGGCAGGCAACAGGTATACATTGCCTCATGAAAACTGAGTCACTCAGCCTGTGCTCCCACCTGGACAGAACACCATGCAGCCTCTGCTTAGAGATGCTCCACAGGAGCCAGTGTGGAAACACCAGGGCCAGGCATCCTTTAGAAAACCATTTTGGGATTGCTCCAGCTCATGAACCAGCAGTTAACTGAGTCACCAGCCATATCATAAAGCATGACTACAACTACGCAGGCCTGGTCCCTAACCCCATGTTGTTACAGCAAAATATAACCCATTCTTATTTCAGAAAAAAAAAAAAAAGCTAGATGTGATGGCACATGCCTGTAGTCCTGGCTACTTGGGGGGCTGAGTCAGAGGATCAGTTGAGCCCAGGAGTTCAAGGTCACAGTCAGCTGATTGCACCACTGCACCCCAGCCTGGGCAACAGAGGGAGACCATCTCTAAATAAAATAAGACAAAAACAACAACAAAAAAAAACAGAAGAAGAAAATATACCAAAATGTTAACAATGTCTTCTATCTTTATTTATTGGGGTTAGAAATTACTTTTGTTTTCTTATATTATGTATATTTTATTTCAAACCTGATAATTTTTTTTTTCCTTTTTGAGACAGGATCTCGCTCTGTTGCCCAGGGTGGAGGGCAGTGGTGCGATCTCGGCTCATTGCAGCCTCAGCCTCCCAGGCTCAGGCAATCCTCCCACCTCACCTCCCTGAGTAGCTGGGGCTACAAGAACACGCCACCATGCCTGGCTAATTTTGTTCGCTTTTTGTAGAGATGGAGATCTCACTACGTTGTCCAGGCTGGTTGCAAACTCCTGGACTCAAGCCCTCCTGCCTTGGCCTCCCAAAGTGCTGGGATTACAGGCGTGAGCCACCATGTCCAGCCAATGTTATTTAATTTATTTATTTTTATTTATTTATTTTTTTGAGACAGGGTCTCATTCTGTTGTCCAGACTAGAGTGCAGTGGTGCAATCATGGCTTATCGCAACCTCAACTTCCCTGGGCTGAGGTGATCCTCCTACTTTAGCCTCCCAAGCAGCTGGGACTACAGGTGTGAGCCACCACACCTGGCTAATTTTTGTATTTTTTGTAGAGATGGGGGTCTTACTATGTTGCTCAGGCTGGTCTTGAACTCCTGGACTCAAGTTATCCTCCCACCTCGGTGTCCCAAAGTGCCGGTATTACAGATGTGAGCCACCATGTCCAGCCTTATTTTTAAAAGAAGGAGAAAATTATTGAGTAAGAGAGTCTCTCTGCAGTTCTTAAGATTGCTGTCAGAACCACCTCAATACTCTTTCTGCAGTCTGTGCTTTGAGCAGCAATATAAAAATGCAGCATTTTATGAGCATTAATAGCAGGGAATGTAAATTAGCCTATTTGTTTTGGCTCTGCTTTGCTTCTGATCATTAGAGGCCAGCAAAAATAGAATGAGAACTGCAAACTCCCTCTTGTTCCCGGAAGATCTCTCCACAGCATGGCATATCAGTCAGATTTCTGGGCTGTCTCATCTCCGTCTCCGTAAGAAAGGATCTTGTTGGAAATACATTGAGGCATACACTGAAGCAGAGGCCCCATTGCCACCTGGGCAGAGGCAAGCCAGAGAAAACAGAGGGAAATGAAAAGAAAGACTTCCTGATATTCACTTCTACATACTGCCAGCTAAGCTGCGCTGGGTACCCAGAGCCCACCCACCACATCTACACCACAAATTCAACTGGGACTTCGGGCTTTTTTTTTTTTTTTTTTTGAGTCTGAGTTTTGCTCTTGGTTCCCAGGCTGGAGTACAGTGGCAGGATCTTGGCTCACCACAACCTCCACCTCCTGGGTTCAAGTGATTCTCCTGCCTCAGCCTTCCTGAGTAGCTGGGATTACAGGCATGCACCACTATGGCTGGCTAAGTTTTTTGTTTTTTTTTTTTTAGTATAGACGGGGTTTCTCCATGTTGGTTAGGCTGGTCTTGAACTCCTAACCTCAGATGATCCGCCCACCTTGGCCTCCCAAAGTGCTGGGATTACAGGCCTGAGCCACTGTGCCTGGCCGGGCCTTCAGGCTTTATGTAGCTGATTGAACACAACCATCTCTGCTCCCAGCAGAAATCCCACCAAAATGTGATAAAGGGGTTTTAAAAGGCAAGGACTGACAAGAACAAAAGCGGGAGGAGAGGAGAGAGAGAGAGAGAGAGAGAGAGAGAGAGAGAGAGAGAGAAACTGACTACACAATCTAAATAAATAGAGAATAATGATCTGGATAACAAATAGACAAAGGTCTTAGCAGATAAGAGAAATTTAAAGGTAAAATGTCAGTGGGAGAATCCCAGAAGCAGGCTGATTTCACATAGCAGAACCCCAGTAAGGAATGGAGAAACGAAGTATCCCAAACGTGAGTGTGCAAGAGGCCTGGAACCAGAGGCTGATGGTCTATGTAAGAAGCCACTAGAACCCTAGATCTCCTAACTCAACGCACATGGCAGAGTGACCCCCTATATTCCACCCTAATGAGTGGTTTGCTCGCTGGAGGCGTTGAACCATGCCACATCCTGGGAACCACAATGAAAATCATTTAAGGCTGGGCGTGATAGCTCATGCTTATAATCCTAGCACTTTGGGAGGCCAAGGCAGGAGGATCACTTGAGTCCAGAAATTCAAGACCAGCCTAGGCAACAGAGCAAGATCCCCAGCTCTACCAAAAAAAAAAAATTACCTATATATATATATAGCCTATGGCCTTCTGGCTTTATGTGGCCAGAAGAAAACAAAATAAAATAATTTAAAAAATAGAAAATAAGTAATAATAAAAGAAATAAAATAAGAGAAGCAATAAAAGAAAAGAAAAAGTCATTTAGGATTATGTAAAAGCCTGCCTATCGAACAGTAAGGCTTCCTGGTCCCCTCCATGAAGTTGGTTCTGAGAACTCCAGCAGCCAGACTTGCCCCAGGCCGATTAATAGAGAAACCTTCTCTGGAGAAACTGACCAGACAAGGAAAAACACCTAGGAACACAGGAGTAAGGGGGTTCTGACGGATATTAAGCTACTGTCACTTGACTTCAAAACCCTCTTCCACTCTCTCCTTCCCAGCTGGCTCCCTCTTAGGTGTAGAGGGAGGTGTCAGCACTGGAGGAAGAAGGGATCCCTTCCCTTGTTGGCCTCCCAATCCTGCCGGCATCACCACAGCCGAGGATCTTCAGCCCTGTAGCAACAGCTGGTCCAGCAGCAGTAGCAAGTCCCAAACTGTGGTTCTTCCTCACTCCCGGCAAAGGCCTCTTCCCGTGGCCTCAGTGATACCAGCTCACTGGCCAGGCTCCTCCTTAGGAAACTGAGTTCTAGCTCCGTGGGGCCATCCTCCCAGATTCTCCCATTGAATAATACTGACCTCTTCCCTCAGTTCCCCAAGACTGAGGGAGAGGCAGTTGCCCCATTCCTGATTCCCACGCGTTCTACCTCTGCGGTATCTCAGTGCTCTTTTTGTCTTTTTAGATCTCAATATGTGGTTAACAATCCTTTATATAAAATTACCTCTGTCTGGGCGCGGAGGCTCACGCTTGCAATCCCAGCACTTTGGGAGGCCGAGGCAGGTGGATCACCTGAGGTCAGGAGTTTGAGACCAGCCTGGCCAATATGGTGAAACCCTGTCTCTACTAAAAATACAAAACTTAGCTGGGTGTGGTGGCAGGTGCCTGTAATCCCACTACTTGGGAGGCTGAGGCAGGAGAATCATTTGAACCCGGGAGACCGAGGTTGCAGTGAGCCGAGATTGTGCCACTGCACTCCAGCCTGGGCAACAGAGTGAAATTCCTTTTCAAATAGAATAAAATAAAACAAAATTACCTCTGTTTAAATATTTGGATTTTTTTCTTTCACCTGACTAGACCCTAATACAAGGGTCTTCTGGAGAAACAGTTCAGCCCATTTGCACTATGGTGAAGCCCACTGAAACTTCCCCCCATCCCCACCACACACACCTGGAGTTTCCAAACAGCTTAAGATCTAACTAAGCCAAGGATTACTGTATCATTCACAAAGCCCAAGCCCCAATTTGAGCAGAGAAAGTTTATTATTAGAAAGAATTATTGGCTGTAACAGGCTAAAAAGACGTGCAGAGAACTCCAAAGAATGCTGTAGGGCCGCGGGAGAGTACCCAAAGAAGGACACACGTGGAAGCATCCCCACCCCAAAGCTGGATTCAGAACTCAAGGCAGAAAGTGTGCATGTGCCCACCAGGTACCAGATTATTTCCCTGGGATGCCCAGGCCAAAGCCTGTGCACAGTCATGAGCAAGCAGGAAACTGGGGGGGTCGCGGCATCGGGAGCCCACTCACTGCATGCAAGGCCTGGGGCATGCAGGGTCCACGTCAGGGCCAGCTCGCTGGGGGAACGCATGCTGTCAGCACGCAGCTAGGACAGAGACCACCGGATGTTCCCACCTGGCCACTGATGGGCCCTGCCGCAGGAGCAACAAGAATCACAAACCATAGCTCCCGGAACCAGAGATAAAAGAAATTCTTTCCTCTGGCAGTGTCCCTCCGGCGCCCTCTACTGAGAAAGCTTAATATTGTGCTGGCTGCGAAGGAGAACCGCTTAATTCAATACAGATCAGTTAAGAGGATGGATTTACGGTTGAGAGGCAATACATTGATAAGAAACTAGTCATTATGGGATGAAAACCACTGACATGAAAGACAGGTATTGAAAACACAAGAATTAAGGAATATAAAGCCAGGCGCGGTGGCTCACGCCTGTAATCTCAGTGCCTTCGCAAGCCAAGCTGGGCGGATCGCTTGAGCCCAAGAGTTCAAGAACAGCCTGAGCAAAATGGCGAGATTCTGTGTCTACAAAAAGTACAAAAATTAGCCGGGCGCGGTGGCGTGCACCTGTAGTCTCAGCTGCTCAGGAGGCTGAGATGGGAGGATCACTTGAGTCCGGGAGGTCGAGGCTTCATTGAGCTGTGATTAAGCCATTGCCCTGGACCACAACAGAGAGACCCTGTCAAAAAAAAAAAAAAAGAAGAAGAAGAAGAGGAAATTTAGAGAATGCAAAGAGCCAAACAATAAAATCCACTGCAATTAATATTTTCATAAACATAAGAGACGATATTTTCTCCATGGTAAAAGAACACATTATTAAATAAAAAATTTAAAGTTGAAGAAATCTTCTAAAAAGAAGCAAAGGATAAAGAAATGTAGATGGGACCGGGCACAGTAGCTCAGGCCTGTAATCCCAGCACTTTGAGATGCGGAAGTGGGTGGATCACTTGAGATTAGGAGTTCGAGACCAGCCTTGCCAACATAGTGAAACCCCATCTCTACTAAAAATACAAAAATTAGCCAGGCGTGGTGGCATACGCCTGTAATCCCAGCTACTTGGGAGGCTAAGGCAGGAGAATCGCTTGAACCCGAGAGAGATGGAGGTTGGAGTGAGCCGAGATAGTGCCACTACACTCCAACCTGGGTGACTCCATCTCAAAAGAAAAAAAAAAGGAAAAGAAATGTAGATGGTATAGAAAATATATGAAAATTAGATCATCTGGATGAATAGGAGGATTTCTAGAAAGAATAGACAGAGGGAACAGAAGGGATGAAATTATCAAAGAAATAATTCAAGAACTTTTCTCAGAACTGAGAGATATGGTTCCAAAGTGAGATAGACCTCAAGTGTCTAACAGAAGTGTCTAACAAAAGGAATGAAATCCAAGGCATAGTACCATAATTTTAAAAATACTGAGGACAAAAAGAAAAATCCCAAAATTGGACAAAAAGAAAAAAACAGGTCACATAAAAAAGATCAAAACTCAAATGGTATAGGGCTTTCTCTTTTTTTTTTTCTTTCTCTTTTCCTTTTTTTTTTTTTTTTTTTTTTTTTTTTTTTTTTTTTTTTTTTTTGAGACAGGATCTCACTCTGTCACCCAGGCTGGAGCGTAGTGATACAATCATGGATCACTGCAGCCTTGAACTCCTGGGCTCAAGGGATCGTCCCCTCTCAGCCTTCTGAAAACTACAGACACGTACCACCATGCCCAGCTAATTTTTAAATTTAATTTTATTTTTTGTAGAGACGAAATCTTACTACGTTGCCCAGGCTGGTCTTGAACTCCTGGGCTCAAGCAATCCTCCCACTTTGGCTTCCCAAAGTGCTGGTATTACAGGTGCGCACCATAACACCTAGCTGAGGACTTTTCAACAGTAGCACTGGAAGCTGGAAGATAGTGGAGCAGTGCTTTCCTAATTTAGGTGTAAATTTTACAACTTGGAATTTTATTTTCAGTAAAACTATTAATCAGATGTAATCATAATATAAAAGACATTTTCAGACAAAATTTCAAAAATTGCCCTCCCTTGCCCCTTTCCTTAGGAAGTTCCATCAAAGTAAGGGATTAGATCAGGAGAGATAAAGATGTGGGATCCTCCAAAGAGTGAGGAGAATGAAAATCCCAGGAGGTTGCTGTGTAGGAGAACTAGGGATCCGCAGGTCCAGATTAAAATGGTTTGGAGGCCGGGCATGGTGGCTCCTGCTTGTAATCCCAGCACTTTGTGAAGCCAAGGCGGGTGGATCACCTGAGGCTAGGAGTTTGAGACCAGCCCGGCCAACATAGTGAAACCCCGCCTCTACCAAAAACACACAAAAGAATTAGCTGGGCATGGTGGCACATGCCTGTAATTCCAACTACTCAAGAGGCGGAGGCAGAGAATTTCTTGAACCCAGAAGGCAGAAGTTGCAGTGAGCCAAGATTTCACCACTGCACTTCTGCCTGGGTGACAGAGTGGATCTCAAAAAGAAAAAAGAAAAAAAAAAAAAGGCTTGGGGCCAAAACCTCAGGGATTAAGAAAATTCCTTTACCTGGTTACAGAAAGAAATTACCAAGAAAAAGAGGGAATTGATTAATTGTAATACATTAGACTGCAGAGAAAAAATAGACTTCTATAGAATCTGCTGACAAATTTGTGATAAATTCATAGACAAATGATCAAAAGAAAACCTAGTAGATCTGTATAGTTCTGGATATCATTCCATAAAGCCCAGCTTAGAACCTGTGCCCTCAGCCCTTATAAAGATTTCACAAGCTCTTAATACCCTTTGTAAAATGTCTTCCTGTTAATTTACCTAGCGTAATCTCTAGTTGCTGCACTGAACCCTGACTGATATAACTTGTTATTAAGAAACAGGAAGATAAAAACTAATTGAGCATCGAAGTGCTTTTACTTCTAGGAAGAGAGAATTAGGGGTTGGTACCGGACTATAGCTTTTGTTCTGTCTTTGGCTTTTTAAATTACATATCTGTAATTTATATACACACACATATATATTTGGCTTTTAAAATTACATATCTGTATAAATCTGATAAAAATTTTAAATAGTTAAATAAAAACTTATTTAGGAGATAATATATTAGAATACTAAGATGAGTGCTGAGTTTAAAAAACAAAGAGGCCAGGAGCGGTGGCTCACACCTGTAATCCCAGCATTTTGGGAGGCCAAGGTGGGTGGATCACCTGAGGTCAGGAGTTTGAGACCAGCCTGACCAACATGGTGAAACCCTGTCTCTACTAAAAATACAAAAAAATCAGCTGGGGATGGTGGCAGGTGCCTGGGTAACAGAGTGAGACTCCGTCTAAAAATGAAAGTGGCATCTGATACAGAGAAGATTAGCATGGCCCCTGCTCAAGGATGACACACAAATTTGTGAAGGGTTCCATTTAAAAAAAAAAAAAAAGTCTGAGCGAGGTGGCTCAGTCCTGTAATCCCAGCACTTCGGGAGGCCAAGGCGGGAGGATCACTTGAGGTCAGGGGTTCAAGTCCAGCCTGGCCAACATGGCGAAACTCCGTCTGTACTAAAGTACAGAAAAATTAGCTGGGCATGGTGGTGCATGCCTGTAGTCCCAGCCCCAGCTACTCCGGAGGCTGAGGCAGCAGAATTGCTTGAACTCAGGAGGCGGAGGTTGCAGTGAGCTGAGATCATGCCATTGCACTCCAGCCTGGGCAAGAAGAGCAAAATTCCATCTCAAAAAAAAAAAAGGGCATCTGAATATATACAATTACAATGTCAATAAAAATAGATAAATGAATAAATACAGTTAGTCTTTTTTTTTTAATGGCATCTGGACATTCCTACATTCTGGAAGATTTACAAATACATAGTGGGGATACCTCTCATAAATGTATAAGCCTCTCAGTTTTTCCTTCCAATGCATTGCAGATTGTCTTTATTTAGCCCTTTCCCCTGGGAACCTGAGACTGAGAGCAGTGCAAGCTATGCTTTTTTTGTAAACACAGCACCTCACATTTCTAGAAGACAACCCTAAGTAAACTTCAGGGCCCTACGTCGGTCACCATTCCATCTGCTCTTCTCTGCTCTGATTCTTCCTATCCCTCAGAAACCCAAGGCCTCCTTAGCCAAACGGAGCTGCTGTGGTCGCAAATAGCCTTGTGCCCCTGGGAACCTGTGAGATGCAATATGTCGTCAGTCTCCCTCAATCTTGGCCTGAGTCCAAGAGAAAGGCAGCTGCTCTGAGGTTCGAGACTCTCCAGTGACTCAGCTCTCTAATTCCCAGTACTCTGTGCATATGCCCTCCTCAATTCCATCTCCTAGACTTGCCAGATGTAGGTCGAGTCCTCAAAGATGAGATAACCAAGATGCAAAATCCTAAAATCCTCCATTAAGCACCTACTAGCTGCAGAGGCCCTGCTGGGGCCCTGAGGGAGATGTGTGTGGCAGACTGCAGGCCAAGTAAGTCCTTCTTTAAGGCTGGTGTCATGAGAATTACTCAATGCCGCCTCCTGCTGGGGAAGGACACTTCACCCCTTTTATGGAAGCCCAACGGGAAGGACTCATGGGACAGGGCAGGCTGCCCTGTCTCTTTTTTAAGCAGTCACTGCAATCACACATGCTCACTAATCCAGTTCACTAAGGTAGGAAGCCACAATAAAGTTTGGAGCCAAAATTGTAGATATAAAGAGAGTTCCTTTATCTGGAATGGCCTCGATTTTTGAATAAGGAGTTTTTTGTTGTTGTTTTGTTTTGTTTTGTTTTGTTTTTGAGACAGAGTTTCACTCTTTTGCCCAGGCCGGAGTGAAGTGGCAAGATCTCTGCTCACTGCAGCCTCCGCCTCCCGGGTTCAAGCAATTCTCCTGCCTCAGCCTCCTGAGTAGCTGGGATTACAGGCGCCTGCCACCACGCCTGGCTAATTTTTGTACTTTTAGTAGAGATGGGGTTTTGCCATGATGGCTAGGCTGGTCTCGAACTCCTGCCCTCACGTGATCCACCGGCCTCGGCCTCCCAAAATGCTGGGATTACAGATGTGAGCCACCAAGCCCATCCATAAGGTTATATTTTTTAATGTCCTGCCTCCTCCTCTTTTTTTTTTTCTTCTCTTTTTGTTTTCAAATAACTAAAGATGCACAGAAAGTTGCAAAATTAGTACCGAGATGTCCTGTGCACTCTTCACGCAGCTTCCCCAGTGGTAAGCTCTTACATACTACAGTACATTATCAGAACAAGCAGTTGATGCATATTTTCTCAATGCATTGCAGTAGGTGGATTTGGTACTTGAGACCCTCAACAATCTCTTTCCGCATATCATGACTAACAGTATAGGCTCATGGTTTTTAAAGGACTGCCCTTTGAAGGAACTGGATGGAATTTTGTTTGCAAAGAGCTGAGAATCACTGGAGAGGCAATAAATGGAAATGTTCCTGTAGATTGTCACTATAGAGAGCAGGGCTGGATATCAAAGGATATCCAGGGATATAAGCCCTCAGCAGGGAGGAGAGCAAAAAGGCCAGTGTGGTTGGTTATTGGAGAAGTTATTTGGATAGTTTTTAATTAGAGACATCTCTTGCATGAATGGATTTCCTAATGAAATCAAATTTTGATTGTGGAAAGCATAATTAACATGTAGGAAACATCAGTATATTCTAGGACCTGAGAGTAAAGGATGAAGTCCCTTTTAGAGAGATACACTGTTCTCTTTTAGGAAGATGGGCATAGAAGTGCAGGAAGTCAACTAGACGTGTTAAAATATAAATTTTTGGCTGCTTGTAACAGAGACACAAATGCCACTGGTTTAAATTCGGTAGAAAATGTTTTCCCACCCTTGGATCCAAGCACATGAGGACCCTGCCCGGGCTCCATGATCTAGAGGGACCTGCTCTATCATTCCCCCAACTTATAGGACAAAAAGTCCGAGAAGCCAAAGGGATAGACCTACCCATGGAGGTTGCATCTCTTCTACAAGTACTACAGTCTAGGTACTTGGAACCCCTGAATTCCTGGCACTAATGGCCCCCAAGCCTGCTTCCAAGTTTGCATGGGCCTCCTCCTGGGGCCATCCTCCCGGGGGTTATGCCTCGCTGCTGTCGTGCATGCTCTGAGACCCCAAAATGTGGCTGTTTTCAGAGAAGGATATGGGTCTGGAGATTTTAGGGACTTGAATTTTCAGGAAAAGAAAGTAGGGCAGATGCAGGTAGAGGACCCAGAGCTAGTTTTCCTCACTCAGCCATATTCTGCCATGGAACCTAGGGGAGTCTCAGAATTCTAAATTCCAGCCTGGCTGTCTTAGCCTGGATTCCCCAGAAAACAGATTCTCAGATAGATTTATCTGCAGAAGTTTTATTGGGGAACAATCTTGGGACAAACACCTTTAAAAGCTGAGAGAAACGGGACAGGGAAAGGGAGCAGTTGGACTGTAATGAAGCCGTAAAGAGTACTGAGCTGATCTCATGGGTTGTGGAGGCCTCTGGCACTGGAAAAGTCCTTTAAATTTGGCCAAACTCGGCCGGGCGCGGTGACTCACGCCTGTAATCCCAGCACTTTGGGAGGCCGAGTGGGGGAGGATTATCTGAGGTCAGCAGTTCAAGACCAGCCTAGTTAACATGGTGAAACCCCGTTTCTACTAAAAATACAAAAAATTAGCCGGGCATGGTGGCATGCGCCTGTAATCCCAGCTACTCAGGAGGCTGAGGCTGGAGAATCACTTGAACCCAGGAGGCGGAGGTTGCAGTGAGCAGAGATTGTGCCATTGCACTCCAGCTCGGGCAACAAGAGCGAAAGTCCATCTCAAACAAACAAACAAACAAACAAACAAAAAGGTGGCCAAACTTGAAGCAAGGTAACCAGGACTTTGTATGTTCTTATCTTATCTATCAGTCATTGGATGTGGCTGCCCCCAGGGAGGGGAGGTGTAACCTTGGGCAAGGCAGCTCTTTTCAGCTAAGGGCAATTCCCAGAGACAGAGCTGTCACAACCAACACCCCTGGCAGCTGGGGAATAAGTGACAATGTTGAAGGTAGGATTTGGGTGGCACACAACAGTATCTGCTACACTAGCCTTCAAGATCAGTATGAAGGTATATTTATCAAGACAAAAGCTGGAACATGTTTTATTCAATAATTTATTTGTTTGACTTATAACAATAAACCATCTCTAACACACATTTCCCTTCCTGATATCAGACAGCTGCTCTGAGGGATACCCGAGACCCACATTCAGGAAGTAAGATAGACATCAGCCTGGACTGCTGAATAGATGCCCTGTGATTTATCTTCAGACATGACTCAGTGGAAATGCAGTTGACTCCATTCTAAAACCTCTCTTGAGAATATTTCCAGGCCCAGTCAACTTATCTTGGTCTCACTATAAGGAAAGGAACTGAGATCAGCTGCACCCTGAGAGGCTAAGATCCTGATAGGGAGCAGGTGAAATCAGGTTGGAAAATAGACAAGACAAAGGCAGGCAGATGTAAGAGGTATTCAAAAGCCCAGTTGTGCTCTATTTTTGCCTTCCACGAGGAATCTTACGGGGAGCTTCCACATTACCCGGTTATTGGTCACGGCGGTGAGTTAAGGCTGTTTTATTGAATGAAATCATCAACCCCCCTCCTTTTCCTGCTAAAACGCAATCTGTTTCCAAGACTTTCCTAATGTAGAGTGATTTTATTGAGCCTAGACCATGGATTTCCCATCTGATAACTCTTTAAGAGGGATGAGATAGAACATAATGTGAGAAAATAACATTGTTCCAAGATTTGTAAATGCTAATAATTGTTGAAGTCCCATGGTAGGTAAATAGAGGTATTTTCTTTATTTTTGTGTAAGTTTGAAAATTTCCATAATAAAAAGTGTTATAAATTGTCTTAGCAGGTCACATAACTAATAATAAAGGTAAAATTTTTGTTGGTCTTAATGAGAGAGAATTTGGAAAGTGGAGATAAGCGGGGCTTTGGAGCTCCTAAACTATTCAGGCTGTGTTTTGACTCAGCGAGCTCAAAGTGGGAGGGCAGGAGAGCTCGCTTTTTAAAAGATCGACAGCGCCATCTACCGGTAAGAGCGCCCAACTCCCTTGCTAAGGATGATATCATTATGCTAGGGTGATAGTAGCAAGCCTCATTGTTAGTCACCTAAGAAGTTAAGACAATAAGAAATCATTCAAAAAATAAAATGATGGCAGGGCGAGGTGGCTCACGCCTGTAATCCCAGCATTTTGGGAGGCCGAGAGGGGAGGATCGCTTGAGCCCAGGAGTTTGAGACCAGCCTGGGCAACATAGTAAGGTCCAAATCGCTACCAAAAAAAAAAAAAGAGAGAGAGAAAAAAAAAGGCGTTAAAATTAATTTAAAGATACACAATAATGAAAATATTACAAAGTACTATTATTCAGCCATAAAAAAGAAATTACATTCTATTTATTTATTTTATTTTATTTTATTTTGCAGACAGAGTCTTGCTCTGTCACCCAGGCTGGAGCGCAGTGGCGCAATCTTGGCTCACTGCAACGTCCGCCTCCCCGGTTCAAGGGTTTCTCCTGTCTCAGCCTCCTGAGTAGCTGGGATTACAGGCACGCGCCATCACGCCCAGCTAATTTTTGTATTTTTTTTAGTAGAGACGGGGTTTCACCATGCTGGCCAGGCGGGTCTCCAACTCCTGACCTCAGGTGATCTGCCCGCCTCGGCCTCCCAAAGTGCTGGGATTACAGGCATGAGCCACCGCGCCCAGCAGAAATTACATTCTGATACATGCTACAACATGGATGAACATTGAAAAAATTATGTAAAATGAAATAAGCCAGACACAAAAGGACAAATATTGTATGATTTCACTTACGTTAGATATTTAAAATGGGGAAATCTGGTTTGCCAGCACAGCAGGAAAAAAAATAAAGTAAAATACGAAAATCATAGAGGTGAAAAGTCAATTTGGCCAGGTGCCGTGGCTCATGCCTGTAATCCCAGCACTCTGAGAGGCTGAGGCAGGAGAACTGTTTGAGGCCAAGAGTTCGAGACCAACCTGGGCAACATGGTGAGACACCCACCCCCACCACCTCTAAAAAAAAAAAAAAGAAAAGAAAATAAGTCGATTAGAGGTTACCAGGGGCTGGGCGGAAAGGAGAATGGGGAGTTATTGCTTAATGGGTAATGAGTTTCTGTTTGGAGTAATGAAAAAAAATTGGAAACAGATAGTGGTTGACAGCTGCACAACAACGTCAAATGTAATTAATGCCAATGAATTATACATTTAAAATGGTTAGGCTGGGTGCAGTGGCTCAGGCCTGTAATCCCAGCACTTTGGGAGGCCGAGGTGGGAGGATCACCTGAGGTCAGGAGTTCAAGACCAGCCTGGCCAACATGGTGAAACCCCATCTGTACTAAAAATACAAAAATTAGCCAGCCATAGTGGCAGGCACCTGTAATCCCAGCTACTCAGGAGTCTGAGGCAGGAGAATTGCTTGAACCTAGGAGGTGGAGGTTGCAGTGAGCCGAGATCATGCCACTGCACTCAAGCGTGGGCAACAGAACGAGACTCCGTCTTGAGAAAATAAAATAAAATAAAATAAAATGGTTAAATGGGAAATCTTACCTTATATACATTTTCATATATATAACATACACACACACACACACACACATATATATATACACACACCACACACACATACAAGTATGAGCCACCACACCTGGCTAAATTGACTTTTCACCTCTATGATTTTCCTATTTTATTTTTATTTATTTTTTTCCCTGCTGTGCTGACAAACCAGATTTCCCCATTTTAAATATCTGATGTAAGTGAAATCATGCAATATTTGTCCTTTTGTTTCTGGCTCATTTCATTTTGCATAATTTTTTTTCAATATTCATCCATGTTGTAGCATGTATCAGAATGTAATTCCTCGTTTATAGCTGAATTATATATATGTTTATTTTTACCACAGTAAAAGAAATTTTAGGCCAGGCATGGTGGCTCATGCCTATAATCCCAGCACTTTGGGAGGCCAAGGCAGGTGGATCACTTGAGCTCAGGAGTTTGAGACCAACCTGGGCAACATGGCGAAACCCTGTCTGTACTAAAAATACAAAAATTAGCCGGGCGTGTTGGTGCACGTATCCATTTCAGCTACTTGGGAGGCTGAGGTGGGAGGATCGTTTGAGCCAGCGAAGTCCAGGCTGCAGTGAGCTGTGATTGTGCCACTGCACTCCAGCCTGGGTGATAGAGCCAGACCTTGTCTCATAATAATAATAATAATGATTAATTAATTTAATTAATTATTTTTTTTAATTTTTTATTTTTTGAGGCGCAGTTTCAGTCTTGTTGCCCAGGCTGGAGTACAATGGCATGATCTCGGCTCACCACAACCTCCACCTCCCAGGTTCAAGTGGTTGTCCTGCCTCAGCCTCCCTAGTAGCTGGTATTACAGGCATGTGTCACCACACCCGGCTAATTTTTGTATTTTTAGTAGAGACAGGGTTTCTCCAGGTTGGTCAGGCTGGTCTCGAACTCCCGACCTCTGGTGATCTGCCCACCTCGGCCTCCCAAAGTGCTGGGATTACAGGTGTGAGCCACTGCACCTGGCTAAAAAAAGAAATTTGTAATGAAATTGACTTCAAAATAATTTAAAAGTTAAGAAAAAAACCACATTACACAAATATGATATAAACTTAAAAGAATGACATAAAAAAAAACACACAAGAGCAAAAAAGGACGCAATGAAATATGGAAACTAGTGAATGGAAACAGTGAAATGACAAAATAACTAAATAAACTAGTAGCAAGATACCTGAAAGGAAAAGTTGACTGCCAATCAAAATACGTTGCTGGGTGACCAAGAAATCAAAGTTAAGAGAGGTAGATATTTTAGGAGTATTTCATCCAGGTCATAGTAAAACCCAGTCCAGGAATAAAACATTGTATGTATCTATACCAGCCTTGTTTTAAACAAAATCTAAAATAGCTTAAACACAATACAACAGAATTAAAAATTACAACTAAGGCTGAGCCTGGTGGTGCCTGCCTGTAACCCCACCTACTCTGGAGGCTGAGGCAGGAGGATTGCTTGAGGCCAGGAGTTTGAGACTGCCCAGCCTGGACAACATAGCCAGATCTCATCTCTAAAAAAGCAATAAAATGAATTAGCCAGGCTGTTGGGGCACATGCCTGTAGTCCTAGCTACTTCCTCAGAAGGCTGAGGCTGGAGGATCACTTGAGCCCAGGAGTTTGAAGCTGCAGTGAGCTATGAGTGAGACCCCAAAATCTCTAAGAAAAAGAAAGAAAAATACGAAGGCAAGTAAAGAGTTAGAAAAATCAGATAAAACCAGTAAGATTAGTATAAACATCATGCTGTGCTGGGGGTGGGGGTTGCAGGTTTGGAACTGAGCTCTCTAGAAGCCAATTCAAAGAGGGAAACACAATCATCACATGGCTTCCAGTGTCCAAAGTCTCAGAAGTAGTGAGACAGCCAGGTGGGAGGGGTTCCCTGGAGAAATGCCAACCAGCCTGCCCACTGAGGTGGAGCCTCAGGAAGTTTGTGCCCTTTGCAGCGGGGAGCAGCCTGGCCCCTCTTCTTAGTGTGTGGATCCTGGGATTTGAATGGCGGGTGGGAAGCGCTCTAGTAGGGACTCTGGCCTAGCGACAGTCCCTGTTTCTCCGTTTTCTTCCTTTTCATCCAATAAAACCCGTCTCATTCACCATTCAGATTGTCTGTGAGCCTGAATTTTCGTGGCTGTGGGACAAAGAACCCGTCTTTAGCTGAACTAAGGAAAAGTCCCGCAATAGTAGCACAACTATTCCTTTCCCTGAGACCAGGAAGCAGTTTTCTTCTGGTCTCCCTTGACCAGAAGGGGTGTGATAAAGTGAAAAACATCTCAACCACACCACTACCATAAATACAAGTTTTCATAGGATTTATTCATTTCTTCAGTGTTCCTGTTACAGCTGGTGGCACCATGTTCCGGCAGAATCAGTCAGATCAGTGCAGTCCCATGCTGTGTGTCCATGCCACTGGTCTGGCTTAATCCAGGGATGAATTCTAGTGTACATGAAACAGATGGCACACATATTCTTCCATCAAACTGACAGAAGAAGTCTCTCTCCACCCATCTTTTGATATGTAGAGCATGACTGTGAGTTCAGTGTTATTATACACTTGATGTCACAGCCATTTTGAAGCTGCTGATTAAAAGTAGGTTATGGCTGGGCGTGGTGGCTCATGCCTGCAATCTCTTAGGGAGGCTGAGGTGGGAGAATCGCTTGAGCCCAGGAGATCAGCCTGGGTAACATACCAGACCCTGTCTCTATTAAAGAAAATTAAGAAAATAAAATTAAAATAGGTTACAACAGAATACTCATGGCCAGAACATACCTGTCTTCATGTTCCCCTGCAGGGAACAATGACTAAACAGCTCATGATTCTTGTCCCTTGAGCCCCGCTTTCCTAGATTCCATAAAGGCCACCCTCTTCTGCATCCACATTCTTTCTTCAGTTGGCGCCTAGTACCATGGATTTGATTTTTGCTTCCTTAGGTCTAGTCTTTATCCATGCATACTTCCCCTTGGCTCCCTTTGATTGGATTTATTTACTCCCCAATTTCCTTAGCACCATCTACAGTGTCTTTTCCAGTTAGTGCCTCTCATTCACTGTGCACAGATTCCCCACAACTTTCATTCGTAGGTGATTAACTTTCATGTAATGTCCCAGGAAACCCTTTACTAGCTGTGTGACTTTAGGCAAATTACTTAACCTCTCTGAGCCATATTTTCATCATTTATAAAGCTCATAATGCCTACCTTGGAAGGATGTTTGGAATTAAAGTAAGTTAGAGGCTGGGTGCAGTGGCTCACACCTGTAATCCTAGCACTTTTGGAGGCCAAGGTGGGCAGATCACCTGAGATCAGGAGTTCTAGACCAGCCTGGTCAACATGGTGAGACCCCCGTCTCTTCTAAAAATACAAAAATTAGGCTGGGCACGGTGGCTCACACCTGTAATCCCAACACTTTGGGAGGCTGAGGTGGGCTGATCACCTGAAGTCAGGAGTTCAAGACCAGCCTGGCCAGCATGGTGAAACCCCATCTCTACCAAAAATACAAAAATTAGTTGGGCATGATGGCGGGTGCCTGTAATCCCAGCTATTCGGGAGTCTGAGGCAGGAGAATCGCTTGAACTTGGGAGGCGTATGTTGCAGTGAGCCGAGATCGCACCACTGCACTCTAGACTAGGTGACAGAGCGAGTCTCAAAAAAAAAAAAAAAAAAAAAATTAGCCGGGGGCGTATTCCCAGCTACTCAGGAGGCTAAGGCAGGAGAATCCTTTGAAGCCAGCAGGTGGAGGTTGCAGTCAGCCAAGATCGTGCCACTGCACTCCAGCCTGGGGGACAGAGTGACACTCTGTCACTCAAAAAATAACATAAAATAAATTATAATAATAATGGTAACAACAGCAAATTGTTATTGAGTTCTTATCGTGCCAGACACGATGCTAAGAATTTCGTATACAAATATTTGGTTGAGTCATCTCAACAAGCCTATCACATGGGAACTCTGACTATCCCCACTTTACAGATAAGGAAGATGAGGCTTAGAGAGCTTAGTGCTGGGCCCATTAGTTACA
The DNA here is from genome assembly GCF_000001405.40 of Homo sapiens. Lineage (NCBI taxonomy): Eukaryota > Metazoa > Chordata > Mammalia > Primates > Hominidae > Homo > Homo sapiens. Next base: position 2,396,767 of record NT_167249.2, read on the forward strand.
GTAGTTATAACTATAATTATTCAATGTCCTTCAATGTCATGAGAAAGTCACCATCAGCCTGGGAGTTCAGTGGGAGGGTCAGGAAAGACTTGAACAATGAGTTGTTTGCAGATGAATGGGCTTTTGTGTTTGTTTTGTTTTTATTATAAACCCAGTACTATACAGGTCTTTGTAAAAGTACAAAGTACAAAGTTGAAAAGTCCTGAAAAGCTTCTACCACCAAGGAATAACCGCCGAAATATATCTCATCAGAACTTTCTCCATGAATACACTTTTTAAAAATTATCACCAGCAGTTTCATGGAACACGAATACTCTGTTTAAAAAAGAGATAAGCTTTTATGTCTATATTACTTTATTTTTTCTGAGTATTATTTTTTCCCCTGATTTTCACCGAAAGGGTTGCTCTCTATGTTGTTGTTTCAGCCCTTCCAGTAGTTTAAAACATGCATCTTTAGTTCTAGTCTAATTCATGATTTCCCTTACATCTATTTAAAGTTATAATTTTATTTAACATCAAAGGTTATTCAGTAGCTTTAGTCTTTCCCCTGAACCAAACACACTTATTTATTTATTTATTTATTTATTTATTTATTTATTTATTTATTTTTGGAATTGGAGTCTCACTCTGTCACCCAGGCTGGAGTGCAGTAGTGCGATCTCAGCTCACTGCAACCTCTGCCTCTGGGGTTCAAGTGATTCTCGTGCCTCAGCTTTCCGAGTAGCTAGGATTACAGTTGCCCGCCACTACGCCCAGCTAATTTTTATATTTTTAGTAGAGATGGGGTTTTGCCATGTTGACCAGGCTGGTCTTGAATTCCTGATCTCAAGTGATCCGCCCGCCTCGGCCTCCCAAAGTGCTGGGATTACAGCCATGAGCCACTGCGTCTGGCCACCAAATACATTTTAACTTCTTTCCTCTTTCCATTCCTCTTACTGTACCCTTCTAGGATTCCCTGGGTTTTGTTAAAAGCTTCTGGAACTGGAATGTAGCAAATGAATGTTCCATTTAACAGGCAGAGAAAGAGGAGGTGGGCAAATCACAGAACCAAAGTGCAGAGTGGTGAAGAGCTCCAGTTGCGTGCAGGGTGGGGTGGCTGCCAGGGCCCTGGTGCCTTCAGTCATTAGTTCTGCAAATGTTCATGAGTTCCACCAGTGGTGTCTGCCCAGCAGAGAGCAGGAGCAGGGGTGAGGGTGAGGACAAGAGACAGACAGAGCCTGGAGGGGCAGTCAGCTGCACAGGAACGACCTTCTGTGCAAGCTGCAGGCTCTGCACCCAGCCAGTACCTGAGCAGGGTAGAGGTCTGATGAGCTGACTTATAGGATGGGCTGGAGGACGCAGAGCCTGTGGGTATGAGGCCAATTAGGAGAGTGCTGTCACCACCCAGGCAGGAGGCCATGAACATCCCCATATGAGAAAGAAGGGCATAAACAGGAAACAAATTTAACAATTAAATAAAAGCACCTCCCTCATGCAGGAAACTCGCCCTGTGCCAGGCCCTGCAGAACCATCTGCAGAGTCATTTCCTCTCTTGGCAACTTGGCAGCCCCTAGCAAACACAATGCATCTTGGCTTGCCATCAGTGCAACCCTTGTTCTTCAGATACAGGTAAAACGCCAAATCCCTAAGAAGGCCTAGAAGGCTCTGCAGTGTCAGCACCAGCACCCCCACCCCTTGGCCCCTCTCTGTGGTCACTTTCTTGGGTCCTGCAGATGCTCCAGGCTCCACTCAAATTCTATTGGATTAAGGCTCACCCTAATGACCTCATTTTAACTTGATGACCTCTATAAAGACCCTATTTCCTAATCAGATCACATTCTGAGGTACCAGGGATTAAGATTTCAGCATATCTTTTGGGGGTGGGGGACACATGGTCACATCCTGAATGACTATAGCTCAAACAGGTCTTTGTTAGGTGAAAATAACAGGTGGAAAAATCACTGAGCACTTCACCTTATCTCAAACTTATGACTTCAAAATCTCTACAGTGGACTGGTTTCCCAGCTGACCTCACCTTACGTGGAGTGTTGCCCAATTCACACTCTCCAGCCTTCCCCACACTGACTTTAACTTCCACATGTTCCTTCACTTCATTCCTGCATAAACCTGGGTATGGTCCCTTCATTGTCTCTCAGTGATGTGGAAAGTTTTCATGATGAGTCTACCCTGCTCTCTCTAATACAAGTAGGATACAACAAACAGCATGTTAAGTTAGCAAATTTGACATTAACGTCTATCTTAAAAAGTGGCCAACTATGGGCCAGGCACAGTGGATCACACTTGTAATCCCAGCATTTTGGGAGGCTGAGATGGGCAGATGGCTTCAGCCCAGGAGTTTGAGACCAGCCTGGGCAACATGGCGAAACCCTGTCTCTATTTAAAAAAAAAAAAAAAAAAAAATTAGCCAGGCATGGTGGTGCACTTGTAGTCCTAGCTACTTGGGAGGCTGAGGTGGGAGGATTGCTTGAGCCTGGGAGGTTGAGGTTGCATTAAGCCAAGATGGCACCACTGCACTCCAGCCTGGCAACACAGCAAGACTCTGTCTCAAACAAACAAACAAACAAACAAAAAAGTGGCCAACAGAGGAGGTAGTAGTTTTGTCACTAGCTGTCATGTGGAACCCCAGGACCTAGCCTTTGGTTTCAAATACTGTTTTTCATTTATAGAAACTAGGACCCCTTAGAATGCAAGGCTTAGGTGACAACTGATTCCATGTCTCAGAGAAGGAAAGAATCAGGACAGGACTTGAATGTTCTGTTGTTGCCATAGAGCAAGGATGACTTCAAGAATGTGAAGGACAGGCTGGGCACGTGGCTCATGCCTGTAATCCCAGCACTTTGGGAGGCCAAGACGGACAGATCACTTGAGCAGAGGGGTTCAAGACCAGCCTGGGCAACGTGGCGAAACCCCATCTCTACAAAAAATACAAAAAGTAGCTGGGCATGGTGATGCATGCATGTAGTCCCAGCTACGTGGGAGGCTGAAATGGGAGGATCATCTGATGCTGGGAAGGTCAAGACTGCAGTGAGCTGCGACTGTGCCACTCCAACCTGGGCAACAGTGAGACCCTGTCGCAAAAAAGAAAGAAAAGAAAGAAAGAGAGAGAGAGAGAAGGAAGGAAGGAAAGAAGGAAGGAAGGAGGGAAGGAAGGAAGGAAAGTAAGTCAAGGACAGTGCTTAAAAAGACAAAGGAGCCAATTTCAAAGAGCTCCCATTGTTCAAGTTGACAGTCGGGCATGAAAGAAAGAAGATGGGGGGAGGAATGATAATTATGGTTAATTGAAGTAAATTGAATCTGTGGCAGGCCATGAAATCACGATAATAACAGATAAAAATTCACATAAAGGGCACAAAAGATGACTGTAATAGAGAAGAATTGAGTTTTAAAATTTTATTTTAATAAAAAGGGAACTATTCATTTTGTCTCTTCTATTAATTATGTGTCTGTTTATAAAGCAAAGATAGGTGCTTGCTTTTGTCTGTGTAAGCAGAAAACCCACAGAGAATGCTGAGAAAGCCAAGTAGCCCTGTTATAGTAGGCAGCTAGTCAGGCACGAGCAGAGCAGGAGAGGGCTTCCTACCACACACACCCACCAGGAATGCCAGGCGAGCATCAGGTGATGGCCAGGCGGTTATTAACTGTTTCTCTAAAATAATAACCGGTAGCAGCTGGCGCCAGGGACAGGCAGCTCCCAATAGATAGAAAAAACCTGAAACTGGTGATCAGCAGCTTCCTGATAAGATCTCAGGAGTTGGGCGAGTGGACTCAAGCATGCTTACTAAGAGGCAAAACTGTGGAGTTTAACTGGTGTATGTCCTTCCTCTACGAATTTTAGACTGGCAAGGGAAGAACGCCTCAAGTGAGCATGCGTACAACTCCAGTAAACACACTGTGCATGCAGCCCTTTCCAAGGGCTAGCAGACCACTGCACATATGGACAGCCCAGCCCAAGGGAAGAATCAAGGGAGAAGGAACACCAAGACCCCCGAAGCATGCAATGTATAAAACCTCAAGTCAGGCCGGGTGCAGTGGCACACCTGTAATCCCAGCACTTTGGGAGGCCAAGGTGGGCAGATCACCTGAGATTAGGAGTTTGAGATCAGCCTGGCCAACATGGTGAAACCCCGTCTCTACTAAAAATACAAAAATTAGCCAGGCTTGGTGGTGCACACCTGTAATCCCAGCTACTTGGGAGGCTGAGGCAGGAGAATCGCTTGAACCCGGGAGGCGGAGGTTGCAGTGAGCCAAGATTGCACCGCTGTACTCCAGCCTGGGTGACAGGGAGAGACTCCATCTCAAAAAAAAAAAAAACAAAAAACAAACAAAAAAAGACCCAAGTCAAAAGATCAAACCACACACTTGATCTCTAAAGTCGTCCACTTGGCCCTCTTCCAAATGTACTTTCCTTCCTGCTCTAAAGCCTTTTAATAAACTTTCACTCCTGCTCTAAAACTTGCCTCGTTGTCTCCTTCTGCCTTATGCCCCTCAGTCAAATTCTTTCTTCTGAGGAGGTAGGAATTGAGGTTGCTGCAGACACCTACGGATTCACCGCCAGTAACAGCCCTGCTGTAAGTATGAACGTTAGCAGAAATAAGAACGTCTGACATGAGATGATGTCAGAGGCAATAATGAAAGAGAAGGGAGTTTCAATAGTAGGTACCAAGACAATAAATTAACCAAAAATATCACTAAAAAGAAGAGCTAACCAAGTCAACCCAATTCTTCATCTTCTAGAATATTGAATATTTAAATTGCCCTACCAGTTATAATAAAATACAAATAAGATATGCATAAGATTTAATACTGCTAACAGATCAAGTCAGTATATCATAATGAGAGAAAAATTCATTATGTAATAATGGTCAAGAGAGATTATTGAAGTGTGTTATATTAGGGGGAGAAAATATGTTGTGAGATTCTTGTTTGTTTTTTTGTTTTTGTTTTTTGATACGAAGTCTCGCTCTGTCACCCAGGTTGGAGTGCAATGGAGTGATCTCGGCTCACTGCAACCTCCGCCTCCTGGGTTCAAGCGATTCTCATGCCTCAACCTTCCGACTAGCTGGGATTACAGGCATGTGCCACCACGCCCGGCTAATTTTTGTTTTTTCAGTAGAGACAGGGTTTTGCCATGTTGGCCAGACTGGTCTTGAACTCCTGACCTCAGGTGATCCATTCTCCTCAGCCTACCAAAGTGCTGGGATTACAGGTGTGAGCCACCGTGCTTGGCCCGCAAAATTCTAAAATTTATGTAAAAGATGTGTACCTAACTAAAAACAGTTATATTCCTCAGTGAGATATAATTTCACACCCACTAGGCTGGCTATAGTAAAAAGAGAGATAATAAGTGTTGGCAAGGGTGTGGAAAAATTGGCATTCTCATGCACAGCTGTTGGACAGTGAAATGGTACAGCACTTTGGAAAATAGTCTGACCATTCCTCCAAAGGTTGAACATGGAGTTACTGTATGACTCAGCAATCCTACTTCTAGGTTTATAGCCCAGAAAAATGAAAATCTATGTCTACACAAGAACTTGTTCACAAATGTTCATAGCAGCATTATTCATAATAGCCAAACAACAACGACGACAACAACAACAATAAAAAATGGAAATGGCCTAAATGTCCATCAACTGATGAATGGAAAATAAAATGTGATATATACAGCCATACACTAGAATAAAAATGAATTTGAAAATAAAAAGAAATAAAGTACTGATATGTGCTACAACATGGATGAACCTTGAACACATTGTGCTAAATGAAAGAAGCCAGTCAAAACGATCCCATGTTGTATTATTCCATTTATATGAAATGTACAGAATAGGTAAGTCCTTAGAGACAAAAAGTAGATGAGTGGCTGCTTAGGGCTGGGGTGGAGTAGGGGAGGGTTAGGAGATTGGGAGTGACTGCTCATGGGTTTGGGCTTTCTTTTGGGGTTGATGAAAATGTTCTGAAATTGATTATGGTGTTGGTTTTGTAACTCCATGAGTATACTAAAAACTACTCCCTGGTTTTGTACATTTATTTATTTTTATTTCATTTTATTATTATTTATTTATTTATTTATTTATTTTGAGACAGAGTTTCTCTCTTGTCACCCAGGCTGGAGTGCAATGGCACAATCTTGGCTCACCGCAACCTTCCGCCTCCTGGCTTCAAGCGATTCTCCTGCCTCAGCCTCCCGAGTAGCTGGGACTATAGGCATGCACCACCACGCCAGGCTAATTTTGTATTTTTAGTAGAGATGGGGTTTCTGCATGTTGGTCAGACTGGTCTTGAACTCCCAACCTCAGGTGATCCGCCTGCCTCAGCCTCCCAAAGTGCTGGGATTACAGGAGTGAGCCACCACGCCCGGCCTCATTTTATTATTTTATTAATGATTTTTTAATTTTGTGTGTACGTTGTAGGTATATATGTTTATGGGGTACATGAGATATTTTGGTGCAGGCATGCAGTGTGTCATAATCACATCATGGAAAATTGGGTATCCATCCTTTCAAGTATTTATCCTTTGTGTTACAAACAATGCAATTATACTCTTGTAGTTATTTTTAAATGTACAATTAAGTTATTATCAGCTGGGCGCAGTGGCTCATGCCTATACTCCTAACACTTTGAGAGGCCGAGGCGGGCGGATCACCTGAGGTCCGGAGTTTGAGACTAGCCTGGCCAACATGGTGAAACCCCATCATTCCAAAAAATACAAAAATTAGCCAGGGGTGTTGGTGCATGCCTGTAATCCCAGCTACCCGGGAGGCTGAGGCAGGAGAATCACTGGAGCCCAGGAGGTGGAGGCTGCAGTGAGCTGAGAAGGTGCCACTATACTCCAGCCTGGGCAACAGAGGGAGATTCCATCCGAAAAAAAAGAAAAAAAAAGTTATTATTGACTGTAGTCCTCCTGTTGTGCTATCAAATACCAGGTCTTATTCATGCTTTCTAACTATTTTTTTTGTCCCATTAACCATCCCCACGTGTCACCCATAGCTCTACTCTTCCCAGCCTTTGGTAACCATCCTTCTACTGTCTCTGTCCATGAGTTCAATTGTTTTGATTTTAGATCCCACAAATAAGTGAGAACATGTGATGTTTGTCTTTCTATGCCTGGCTTATTTCATCTAACATAATGACCTCCAATTCCATCCATATTGTTGCAAATGACAAGATACCATTCTTTTTATGGCTGAATAGTACTCCATTATGTATATGTACATTTTCTTTATCCATTCATCTGTTGATGGACACTTTAGTTGCTTCCAAATCTTGGCTATTATGAACAGTGCTGCAGTGAACTATAGTTATTATTTTCTATTGGTTCATCATTTAGTCTTTCTACTTTAAGACAGGAGTAGTTTACCTACCACCATTAAATTGTTATACTATTCTGTGTTTTTCTGTATACTTGCTATTACCAGTGAGTTTTGTAATGAGATTTATTCTCATTCATTAACATCCTTTTCTTTCAGATTAAAGAGCTCCCTTTAGCATTTCTTGTCAGACAGGTCTGGTGTTGATGAAATCCCTCAGCTTTTGTTTGTCTGGAAAAGTCTTTATTTCTCCTTTATGCTTGAAGGATATTTTCACTGGATATACTATTGTAGGGTAAAAGTTTTTTCCTTCAGCACTTGAAATATGTCATGCCACTGTCTCCTGGCCTGTAAGGCTTCCACTGAAAAATCTGCTGCCAGACTTATTGACGCTTTGGGAGTTTGATCATTAAATGCCTTGAGGTAGTCTTTGAGTTTAATCTGCCTGGCATTCTATAACCTTCTTGTATTTGAATGTTGATATCTTTCCATAGGTTTGGGAAATTCTGTTATTTCTCTGAATAAACTTTCTATCTCTATCTCTTCTGTACCTCCTCTTTAAAGCCAATAACTCTTAGATTTGCCCTTTTGAGGCTGTTTTCTAGATCTCGTAGGCATGCTTCATTGTTTTTTATTATTTTTTCTTTTGTCTCCTCTGACTCTGTATTTTCAAGGAGCCTGTCTTCAGGCTCACTAATTCTTCTGCTTGATTAATTCTACAATTCAGAGATTCTGTCTTTTCTGAAAGATTAAAATAAATAAAATTTTAAAAAGGCTGGGCACAGTGGGTCACACCTGAAATCCAAGCACTTTGAAAGGCCAAGGCAGGCGGATCAACTGAGATCAGGAGTTCGAAACCAGCCTGGCCAACACAACAAAACCCTATCTCTACTAAAAATACAAAAATTAGCCAGGCGTGGTGGTGGGCATCTGTAATCCCAGCTACTCGGGAGGCGGAGGCAGGAGAACCTCTCGAACCCAGGAGACAGAGGTTGCAGTGAACTGAAATTGTGCCACTGCACTCCAGCCTGGGTAACAGAGTAAGACCCTGTCCCCCCCACAAAAAAAAAAAGAAAGAAAGAAAAGGAAAAAGGAAAAAGAAAAAAAATTTTCAAAAAAATTTTCAAAAGAGTCGTACATTCTTCAGCATGTCCATTGTATTTTTCAACTATTGAATTTCTGCCTGATTCTTTTTAATTATTTCATTCTCCTTGTTAAATTTATCTGATAGAATTCTGAATTCTTTCTCTATGCTATCTTAATTTTTTTTTTTTTTTTGAGATGGAGTCTCACTCTGTCACCCAAGCTGGAGTGCGGTAGCGTGATCTCGGCTCACTGCAACCCCTGCCTCCTGGGTTCAAGCGATTCTCCTGCCTCAGCCTCCTGAGTAGCTGGGAATGCAGGCACGTGCCACCACGCCCAGCTAATTTTTTGTATTTTTAGTAGAAATGGGGTTTCACCATGTTAGCCAGGATGGTCTCGATCCCGATCTCGCGATCCGCCCTCCTCAGCCTCCCAAAGTGCTGGGATTTCAGGCATGAGCCACCGTACCCGGCCCTTGAATTTCTTTTAGTTTCCTCAAAACGTCTATTTTGAATGATCTATCTGAAAGATCATATATCTCTTTTTCTCCAGGATTGGTCCCTGATAGCCTATCTAGTTCATTTGATGAGGTCATGATGGTATTGATGCTTATAGGCGTTTGTCGGTATCTGGGCATTGAAGAGTTAGGTATTTATTGTAGTCTTCACAGCCCTGGGCTTGTTTGTGCCTGTCCTTCTTGGGAAACCCAATAATGCTGTGGTTTTGCAGACTCTTAGAAGTACTGCCTTGGTGGTCTTGGATAAGAGCTGGAAGAATTTTCTGGATTATCAGGCATAGACTCTTGTTCTTTTTGCTTACTTTCTCCCAAACATACAGTCTCTCTCTCTCTTGCTGAGCCACCTGGAGCTGGGGGTGTGGTGACACAAGCACCCCTGTGGCCGTCACTGGGACTGCACTGGGTCAGATCTGAAGCCAGCACAGCACTGGGTCTTTGCCAGGGCCTTCCCTTCAGGGCAACAAGTTCCTCTAGGCTAAGAGCTTCTCCAGAGATGCTGTCTGGGAGCCAGGGATTGGAGTCAAAAACTTTGGTAATTTACCTGATGTTCTGTTCTACTGTGGCTAAGCGGGCGCTGACACCACAATACAAAGTCCCTCCCACTCATCCCTCCCCTTTCCTTAGGCAGAGGAGCCTCTCCCTATGGCAACCACCACCACCAGTCCACAGCAATTCTGCCAGTCCACCACCAATGTTCACTTAAAGCCCAAAGATGGCCGGCTGTGGTGGCTCACGCCTGTAATCCCAGCACTTTGGGAGGCCGAGGCAGGTGGATCACTTGAGGTCAGGAGGTCAAGACCAGCCTGACCAACATGGTGAAACACTGTCTCTACTAAAAATACAAAAATTAGCCAGGTGTGGTGGTGGGTGCCTGTAAGCTCAGCTTCTTGGGAGGCTGAGGCAGGAGAACCTCTTGAACCCAGGAGACGGAGGTTACAGTGAGCCCAGATGGTACCACTGCACTCCAGTCAGGGTGACAGCAAGACTCCGTCTCGAAAAAATAAAAATAAAAATTAAAGCCCAAGAACTCTTCCATCAGCTTGTGGTGAATGTTGCCAAGCCTGGGACTTACCTTTCAGGGCAGCAGGCTCCCCTCTGGACCTGCCATGAGCCAGAGGGGCAGGTCCAGGACAGAATCTACACCTAGATTTGGGGACTCCAAGAGACTGCTTGTTGCTCTGCCCTACCATGGTTGAGCTGGTGCCTAAGGTACAAGACAAAGTCCCCTTTACTTTTCCCTCTGCTTTTCTCAAACTGCAGGAGTCTTTCACCATAGCCACCATAGCTGGGAATGTGCTGGGTCACTGCTGAAGACAGCATGTCTCAGAGTCTCACCCAAGGCCCACAGTGTACTACCTGGTTATTGCTGCTAGTTATGCAGGGCCCAAGGGCTCTTTAGTCAGCAGGTGATGAATCCTGCAAGTACTGGGCCCTTCTCTTCAAGGCAGCAGCTTCCCTTTTGGCCCAGGTATCTAAAAATGACATCTGGGAGTTGGGCCTGGAATGGGGGCCTCATGACTTGGCCCAGTGCCCTATCCTACTGTGGCTGAGCTGGTATCCAAGATGCAAGACCAAGTCCTCTTTACCCGTTGCTCGTCTCTCCTTAAGCAGAGGGAAGGAGTCACTTTCGTTGCTAGGAGCTGCACTGCCTGGGATTGGAGAAGGGGTGGCACAAGCCCTCCCTTAGCCATACTGGCTGGTGTCTACCTAGGTCAAGTGCAACCCTAGTCCATTGGCTGTAAGTCCAGCCGAGCACTAGGAGTTGTCTAGGAATTGCAGTCCTTGGGTCCTAGACTGCCTTTTCTTTTTTTTCTTTTGTGGAAATATGGCCTCCTTATGTTGCCCAGGCTGGTCTCAGACTCCTGGGCTCAAGTGTCCCTCCTGCCTCAGCTTCCCCAAGTGCTGGGATTATAGGTGTGAGCCACCGCATCCAGCCTAGACTGCCTTTCAAGTTTACCTAGGACACCAGAGCACTTTGGCCCATGGTGGTGAGGCTTGCAGAGAAACTCAAGTTCCAACCACTGGGACAGGTGATTTCCCTCTGGCTAGGGCTGGCCCAGATGCCCCCTCCACATGCAGGTGCCGGTCGATCCCAGCATGACTTTGCTCTCCGCTATGACAGTGCAGCAGTGAGTTCAATATAAAGTCCCCCACCCCATGCCCTCCCTCCCCAAAATGCAAAGACTCTCCACGCTGCAGGAACACTGCCAGGGAGGACGGAAGGGGCGTCACAATTCAAGACTGTCTCTCCTGCCCTCCTCAATGTTTCCTTTAGTGATATGAAGTTAAATCCAGTTACTGTGATTGCTCACCTGATTTTTGGTTCTTGTGATGATGCTTCTCTGTGTGCAGATAGTTGTTAAAAGTTAGTGTTCCAGGCTGGGCACAGTGGCTCATGCCTGTAATCCCAGCACTTTAGGAGGCTGAGGTGGGAGGATCATTTGAGGCCAGGAGTTCAAGATCAGTCTGAGCAACATAGTGGGACCCCATCTCTATAAAAATTTAAAAATTACCCAGGTGCAGTGGTGCAGGCCTGTTGTCCCAGCTACTTGGAAGGCTGAGGTGGGAGGACTCCTTGGGCTCAGGAGGTTGAGGCTGCAGTGAGCCCTGATGGTGCCACTCCACTTCAGCCTGGGTGATAGAGGAAGACTCTGTCTCCAAAAAATAAAAATAAAATAATAATAATAATTGCATTCGTAGGCCGGGTGCAGTGGCTCACACCTGTAATCTCAGCAGTTTGGGAGGCCAAGGCGGGTGGATGACCTGTGGTCAGGAGTTCAAAACCAGCCTGACCAACATGGTGAAACCCCATCTCTACTAAAAATAAAAAATTAGCCGGGCATGGTAGTGCACTACATTGCACTACAGCCTGGGCAACAAGAGCGAAAATCCATCTCAAAAAAAAAACGCATTTGCTTCTTAGGGGGTTTCAGACATTTAAGAGAATCCTATGTATTAAATGCAAGATTTTTTTTTTTTTTTAAGATGGAGTCTTGCTCTTGTCGCCCAGGCTGGAGTGCAATGGCGCGATTTCGGCTCACTGCAACCTCTGCCTCCTGGGTTCAAGCGATTCTGCTGCCTCAGTCTCCTGAGTAGCTGGGATTATAGGCGCTTGCCACCATGCCCAGCTAATTTGTATATTTTTAGTAGAGACAGGGTTTCACCATGTTGGTCAGCCTGTTCTCGAACTCCTGACCTCAGGTGATCCACCCGCCTCGGCCTCCTAAAGTGCTGGGATTACAGGTATGAGCCACTGTGCCCAGCTAAATGAAAGATTTTAATTAAATGCTTAAATGAGTTTAAGTCTAAAATCAATATTTAGGCCGGGTGCAGTGGCTCACGCCTGTAATCCCAGCACTTTGGGAGGCCGAGGTGGGTGGATCACAAGGTCAGGAGATCGAGACCATCCTGGCTAACACGGTGAAACCCCATCTCTACTAAAAATACAGAAAAATTAGCCAAGCGTGGTGGTGGGCACCTGTAGTCCCAGCTACTCAGGAGGCTGAGGCAGGAGAATGGCGTGAACCTGGGAGGCAGAGGTTGCAGTGAGCCGAGATCACGCCACTGCACTCCAGCCTGGGTGACAGAGAAGACTCTGTCTCAAAAAAATAAATAAATAAATAAATAAATAAATAAATAAATAAATAAATAAAATCAATAATGTGTTTTAATCAGTTTGGATTATTAAATCCATAAATGTCTATGTATTAGTTGTGTACATAGTGTATAAATAGAAGAATATTATTTAATGCTTAAATGCTATTTGTTTAATAAATTCATAAGAGAAACAAAATTACATTAAGTAGAAATACCTTAATGACATTTAGACACTGAGAGGGTGTCCCAGGAAAAGAGAGGGGCACCTGAGCTTGAAGGCTGGTGACAGATGTTTAAGGGGCCACTAACATACCAGATAGATTTTATCTTCCTAGACTCATCATCTTTGCACCTATTAATCATGAACAGAGTTAGTTCTCCTGAATTCATCATATGACAATGTCACAGTGGACAGAGAGACTCAAGAGAAGTGAGTTTTGACTGGGTGAGTCAAGAGGGATTATGGTCCTGAGTAGCCAGGGAGTGATTTAAGTACGGGATTCAGAGAAAGGAGGGACAGAGGAAGAGGTGCTAAAGAAACAACCCTCTGGCCGGGCGGGGTGGCTCACGCGTGTAATCCCAGCACTTTGGGAGGCTGAGGCGGGCGGATCACGAGGTCAGGAGATCAGACCATCCTGGCCAACATGGGGAAACCCCGTCTCTACTGAAAAATACAAAAATTAGCTGGGGATGGTGGCACATGCCTGTAATCCCAGCTACTCGGGAGGCTGAGGCAGGGGAATCGCTTGAACCAGGGAGTCGGAGGTTGTGGTAAGCAGAGATCACGCCACTGCACTCCAGCCTGGCAACAGAGCGAGACTCCGTCTCAAGAAAAAAAAAAAAAAAAAAAGAAAGAAAGAAAGAGAAAAAAAAAAACACCTGCTGCATCAGTCACAACTGCCATCCTGAGGCCAAGAAGAACTAAATGGTCTCAAAATTATTTCACAACTTGTTGCTACCACCTTTCCACAGTGGGGCTTGTCTAGCCAGAGAATCAAACATTAATTCACTTTAGGCTGGTCATGGTGGCTCATACCTGTAATCCCAGCACTTTGGAAGGCCGAGGCAGGAGGATCACTTGAGGCCAGGAGTTCAAGACCAACCTGGGCAACAAGCGAGACCCCCATCTCTACAAACAAACAAACAAACAAAAGAGTAAGCACGTCATACACATCATAGAATTCTAAGAACTGAAGTAACCTTGTAACATTTAGTTCATGGTAAATACATAAAGGAAACTATTATTATTATCACCCAACAGTGTGTGTGTAAGTGAAAAATGTCTTTTTTACTGACAAATGGCTAAGTGAATGCTGTTTGTTTGAGGGATGAAATATTTAAATGAGAAGCCAACTCAACTCTTCCTCTTGATCTTAGAGTCATTCTCTCAAGTGTAACTCCCAGTGCAAAGCATCACATCAACTTATCAATCGACTGTGATGTCAACTACAGCCTCTGCACCAGACCAGCCCTCCTCTGTGGGACTAAGAACTATCCTGTGGTCCTGCCAGGACTGCCTCACTGGGACAACACACTGCATTAGGATCTATCCCTTACGATGGCTCAGGGTTTTCCAGTCTCTAAGGCACCTTATCATTATCTTACCTAAACTTCCTAATAATCCTGTGAGGGAGGCTGGACATCTGCTTTCATCCCATGTTACAGATGAGAAAACGAAGGTCCACAGAGGTCAATGACTTGCCTAAGGTGACCTGGCACAGAAAGTTGTGTGGCAGAAGGGGAACCTCTGTTTCCTAACTTCTGGATAAGCGCCCTCCTAGGATAGGAGAAATGAATGACTCTTGCTACTCCAGCCACCACTTCCACTAATTAACCACTAATAAAAATGTAAAAATCAGTATGCCAGCAGTAGTCCCTGTTGCAAACATTAGGACCTTTCTCATATCACAGATTACTGAAGACATTCCCTCTCTTTTTGTTGTAGTTGTTGTTGTTTGGTTTTTGGGTGTTGTTGTTGTTGTTGTTGTTCTTCTGAGATGGAGTTTCCCTCTTGTCACCTAGGCTGGAGTGCAATGGTGCAATCTCAGCTCACTGCAACCTCTGCCTCCCAGGTTCAAGCGATTCTCCTGCCTCAGTCTCCCGAGTAGCTGGGATTACAGGCGCCCACCACCACACCTGGCTAACTTTTTATTTTTAGTAGAGACGGGGTAGCACCATGTTGGCCAGGCTGGTCTTGAACTCCTAATCTCAGGTGATCCACCCTCCTTAGCCTCCCAAAGTGCTGGGATTACAGGTGTAAGCCGCCTTTCTTTTCTTTTCTTTTCTTTTTCTTTTTAGTCTTGCCCTGTCACCCAGGCTAGAGTGCGGTGGAATGATCATGGCTCACTGCGGCCTCAACCTCCCAGGCTCGGGTGATCCTCCCACCTCAGCCTCCCAAGTAGCTGGTACCACAGGCATAACACCATGCCAAGCTAATATTTTATTTTTTTTAAAGTTTATTTTTGCTCTTATGATGATGATTTTTTTTTTTGAGACAGAGTCTCACTCTGTTGCCCAGGCTGGAGTGCAGTGGCACAATCTCAGCTCACTGCAACCTCCATCTCCCAAGTTCAAGCAATTCTTATACCTCAGCCTTCCCTCTAGCTGGGATTACAGGCGTGCAACACCATGCCTGGCTAATTTTTGTATTTTTAGTAGAGATGGGGTTTCACCACATTGGCC